>NC_000011.10:114445151-114748182 GCF_000001405.40 Homo sapiens | reverse complement strand
TCAAAACAAAATATTAATAAAAAAGAAAGAAAATGAAAAAACATTTGTAAGTATGGCACGTAAAGATGAGTGGATCAAAAAGAAAGATGCTTAGTGAAATAAGCCAGGCACAGAAAGACAAACACCAGATGACTTCACTCATATGTGGCATCTAATAAAGGTGATCTCACGAAAGTGGAGAGTAGAATGATGGCCACCAAGGGCTGGGGAGAATTGGGGCACTGTTGGTCAAAGGCCACAAAATTCAGCTAAATAGGAGGAATACAGTCAAGCAATCCATTGTACAGCCTGACAACTGTACTTGATAATATATCATATTCTTGAAAAATGCTAAGAGAGTGGCTATAAATTTTTTCGCACCACAAAAATGATGAGTATGTGAGGTGATATGGTTTGGCGCTGTGTCCTCACCCAACTCTCATCTCAAATTGTAATTCCCATGTGTTGAGGGAAGGACCTGGTGGCAGGTGATTGGTTTCTCCGCATGGTTCTCATAATAGTGAATGAGTTTTCATGGGATCTGATGGTTTTAAAGTGCTTGGCAGTTCCCCCCTTGCCCTCTCTCTCTCCTGCCACTGTGTAAGATGTGTCTTGCTTCCCCTTCACCTTTAGCTATGATTATAAGTTTCCTGAGGCTTCCCCAGCCATGCAGACCTGTGAGTCAATTAAACCTCTTTTCTTTATAAATTACATACCCTCAGATCATTCTTTATAGCAATATAAAACTGGACTAATACATGAGGTAATGCATATGTGAGTTATGTAATCAAGTGACATGTATCACTTCTGTGTAGGCAGTGAAAAGTCCAAATACTCTTCTCCAATATCTGTTTCCCTGCTGTGGTGATTGAAGAAGTCATGTATTCCGGGTTGCTATAGCTATGAGATGGCAGGTTCTCTATCGGCCTGGGTCCTGAGTGTTACCAGGGAGTCAGACACCTAATTGAACATAAAAATTAAGTAAGCAGATTTAAAAACCCCTTTTTAAAATTGAGCCACTAAGTTTGTGGTTGTTCATTACAGTAGTATAATCTATCCTATAGAGACACTCAATTCAAAGAAAGGAATCTGGATAGAGGGAAGGTAGAAGACATGAGTATCTGATTAGAGATCAAAGAAGAGGTCTAAGAGTGACATTTTGTGACACACTACTACAAATTAGCCAAAGAGATAGGGGACATGGATTTCTGCTGTCAATAACACACTAACATGGCAACAAGACACAGAAATTTTTGCTTTCTTTAGGCTTAGGGCCATGTAAAAGGAAGGTGTTCTTTGTGGGGTTTTTTTTTTTTTTTTGGTTTTGGCTTGTTTGTTTGTTTGTTTGTTTTTGAGAGGGAGTCTTACTCTATTGCCCAGGCTGGAGTGCAGTGGCTCTATCTTGGCTCGCTGCAACCTCCACATTCCGGGTTCAAGCGATTCTCCTGCCTCAAGTTCCCAAGGATCTGGGACTACAGGCGCGGGCCAGGAAGCCCAGCTAATTGTTTGTATTTTTAGTAGAGACAGGGTTTCACCGTGTTAGCCAGGATGGTCTCGATCTCCTGACCTCATGATCCGCCCACCTCAGCCTCCCAAAGTGTTGGGATTACAGGCATGAGCCACCATGCCCAGCCCAGGTGTTCCCTTTTGATTCCTGGTCCCTTAAATGCTTGAATTCTTAGCTCCTGAAGTAGATCTCCTACTAATTCTTGGTTCTTTGAATTTATGTTTTCTCACGCACCTCTGGTTTTGTAACAATCCTTGAATGATTTATCTCTCTGGATTTGACATACTGGGTTTCTTGTAATACTTGACTTCTACGAGGTGTTTTAAAAGTTGTTGTTTTGTTTTGTCTTCAGTGTATATGATATCCTTGACAGAAATCCTGGCTCAGCTGACAGAAATAAAGATAGTACCATGATACCCATTACCATAACTAGTTACCCTGCATAGTAGGGATGCCCCTTGATGAGGGTCAACACCTCATTACCGAGAGTACAACATGACTGCGAAAAATTATGAGACAGTTTGTACCAGAAGTTCACCAAAGATAGATTCTGGTCAAACATCAACTGCCCAAGTCTTAAAGTCAACATTCAACTAAAGCCAAGCCAAAGCTAAAAATAACCATCATAAAAGGAAGTTCTGAAACATAAAATATACTATTTTATTTACAGATATATAAAATTTATATTTATACAAAATGTATTATGTTATCATAATATATTTAAATATGAGTATTACAATTTTATCACTAAACCTTTATAACTAAGATTGTAAACTTATTAAAATGCAGGCATAATACATGTTTAGCAGGGTCAGCTAGCTGTTCCATCGTCCCTACACAGTACATTTGTAACATTATATAACATTAAAATTGGTAAAAGAATAAAAAATTTGGAGACACCTAATTTTTCTCTTATTTTCTTCTTCTACTCTAGTATACTTTTTCATATCTAGTTTTTCTACCTTATTTTTGAGTTTTCGCTTCTCATGGAATTTAAAGTCACAGTTGACATTCTGAATTCATACTTACGAGATGTAAAAAAATTCCCCAAAGAAATTTTTCTTGAAAGAAACATAGCTTACCTGGAATTACATTTAATATAAAATTTAAATATTGCTCTTGCTATGGTTTGAATATAGTTTGTTTGGCTCTGTCAAGACTCATGTTGAAATCTGATCCCCAGTATTGGAGGTGGGCCTGGCAGGAGGTGTTTGGATCATGAGGCCAGATTCTTCATTAATGGCTTGATACATTTTTGCAGCAGTGAATAAGTTCTCACTCTCAGTTCCTGTAAGAACTGTTTGTTGAAAAATAACCTGGCATCTCCTCTGCTTTCTTGCTTTTCAATCTGGCCATGTGATCTGCATAAGCAAGCTCCCTTTTGCCTTCCACCCTGAGTGGAAGGAGTCTGAAACCCTCCCCCAAAATAGACGCTGGTGCCATGCTTCTTGTACAGCCTGCAGAACTGTGACCCAAATAAACCTCATTTCTTTATAAATTACCCAGCCTCAGGTATTCCTTTATAGCAACACAAACAAACTAAGACAGATCTTAAAGCTTATTTTCTCTAATATACATCAAACAATTTTACAAATATTAGAACTATGGCATAATAATGTTTTTATTATTCTTGTTTGCATTTTTTAAATTCTCATGAATATTTATTTGCTGAGAAAGAATAACTTCCTGAAGTTATCCAACTAACACAGTTTCTGTTAATGTTTTGTATTAACTGCTAATGTATATTCTTATTTATTAACTATTTTTAAATTCTTAATTATTTTATACACAAAATGAACAGCTTTCATAGTAATTGTTCTGTTTTATAATTGTAATGATAAACATGCCTTCGTACTTATAATATTGTGAGATTTGTTTTTCTTTCTTTTTTTCTGAGACAGGATCTCACTTTGTCACCCAAGCTGGAGTGCAGTGGTGCAAACACTGCAGCCTCAACCTCCTGGGCTCAAGAGATCTTCCCACCTTAGGCACCTGAGTAGCAAGGATTACAGGTGCATGCCACTATGCCTGGCTAATTTTTGTATTTTTTGTAGAGCCTGGATTTCACCATGCTTCCCAGGCTGGTCTCAAACTCCTGAACTCAAGTAACTCAACCCGCCGCAGCCTCCCAAAGTGCTGGAATGAAAGGCATAAGCCACCACGCCCAGCCAAGAATTTTCATATATAAAATACATAAAGAGATTTTGTACTCTAAGTAACATCCAGAATGCTCACTTATTTTTTAAAAGTATCAACAATAAATGTCATGTTTGTATTCCTTATGTTGTTAAACTGGTAAGATATTATAGTAAACCATAGGATGATGTTGTTATTGACTACAAGTTCAAAGGTGTCAGAGGTTATGTTTAAGGATGTATCTACGCCACTCTGACCTTCAAAGGCTAAGATTGAAATATTCACATCTGAGTAACAGACGTTTTGGCCAAATTCTCAGGGTGAAGCCACATTTTGGTGTATCTCTAATTTGCACAAAAGACACTTTGAAGAAAAAGTCTCTGATACCTGGAATTGAGAAGAAAGTGAATACCAAAGACCACATTCACACCAGGAACAATTTAATAAGGAAAGACATCCTACTCTCTTGAGTAAATCAGCTCGTGTATATGGGATTGAGCTGGGTTAACAAAGGACCCCAAGAGCAATGAGAGAGCAGAATCCATAGACACAAAGAAAGAATAGAGAAACACACCTTTTCCTAGCTTTGGTAAAAAATATACATATATATGCATATATAAATATACACTTATATATACATATATGTGTAAATATACATATATGTGTGTATATATACACATGTACACATATATATACTTATATATACACACATATGTATATATACACATATATCTATATATATACACACACATACACACACACACATATACATAATATATATATGCTCACTAAAGAAAGTTTATTTAAAACTTTTAACCATAAAACAGAATAGAAAGGAGTGGAAAATAGATAAGGCGGCAAAGGACTGGAATCTCTTCCCACTTCCGCTATTTATTGACTGTTCCACCTTAACCAAGACACACAATCCATATAAGCCTGAGTTTTCCCATCTATAAAAAGTAGGCAATAGCATCTACATTATTAAACTCAAAAAGTACATGCAAGTTTTGTAAATTCTAAAGCTGTACATAAAATAGATTTTAAGCATTTTCCTCAAGTAAATTTATTTTAAAAACCTATTCTATTCTGACCATTTCCTTACCTCACCAGTTTGCTTGATACTGCTTTGCTCATGCTTATGTGTCATATTATATAAAAAGCAATATTAATAAGTACTATCATAATTTCCATTTTATATTTAAATAAACTGAGACACAGAGCTAAGATTACATGCAACATAACATGCATAATTTACTGAGAACTTACAAAGCTGAATCTAGGCCTTGGTGCACAATTACTTTGCTAAGTTAATGTCTCTGGTGCAAAAACATCAATCCTTGCCTGATAATTCCCTGAACTCAATGTTGAATCTTTTCATTCTATTAATATAAGTTGCCAAGATTTAAAAAAAACAGTTTGGTTAAATAGTAGAAAATGAAGCCTGTTGCCTAAAATATTTTTGTTTAAGTTGCTTGAATATTTATTGCAAAACCAGGGCTACTCCTAAGACAAAACAGTTAATCCATTTGCATGCCTCAAAAGGTGCCAAAACTCAGTCTTAACAGCCCCAAATAAAAGCAGCAAAAGGTGCCAAAACTCAGTCTTAACAGCCCCAAATAAAATCAGCCACATTGGGTTCAAAGTGAGCTGACTTACTTGACTCAACAAAAGAAGCCTGTTGGAATTGGTCAAACCCATATAAACATCAGAGATAACACTCACTACCCCAGAGCTATGCTTGGGACCAACTGGGATGGTTACATTCAAGAATTCACTGCAGAGTGACATTAGCAAGATGGCAGAATAAGAGCTTTCTACCATCATCCCCCTACAGAAACATCCACTTTGACCAATACCCACAAACAAAAATACCATCATGGAAGTATGAGAGTCCAGTAAAGAAGTTCTAGTACAGTGTTAGGGCAAAAAAAAAAAAAAAATCCAAGAATAAACACATTGAAGAAAGTAAGAACAATTTCACTTTACCTGTGTCACCCCTCTCCAAGGAAGCATAGTTCAGTGCCAAAAAGAGACCCCGTTAGGTCTCCCAAGTTGGAAAGTGAGAGGGGCATGAGTGAGCACTCAGCTTTCCCAGCCATGTGGGATGCCTCCCAAGAGGCCCACTTCTTTCTCATTTCACCCAACATACTGATGTGATCTGTGTAGCTGAGTGGTTGGGAGAAGATGGGAGCAACGAAGAAAGGCCACAGACCTTGCTAACCATTCCATGGACTCCATCAGGAAGCCTATCTGTGAGCTGCTTGGGCCCAGGCTTTATCCGCAGAACAACAACAACTAGCCCAGGAGCACTCCAAATGCACTGAGTCCCTCCCCAAATGCTGACTTCCTGCACAACCTCATGGACAACAAGTGCTGTGGAACTGACAGAAGGTATACAAACTTCAACGTTTCAGAGTGCCATCCTAGAGAAAACAAATGAGAGGCTTTCATCACCCAGCCTGGCTTTGCAGGATTGAGAGAAGGCATACAATCTTAGAATTCCCACCAAGAGGGAACAAGAGGTATGAAGTGGGCATGTCCACAGAAAAAATCTGAGAAAGTCTCAAAATCCCTAGTTGGGCTGATTGGCAAAGGTCTTTCTTTTCCAAAGCCAGTCAGTAAAGACTGTAGGAGGTGACTGCTTCTGCAAAAGTGAAGACAGCAACACTGGACTTCAGGGTACACAAAAATTCAAGAAAACAGGACATCATCAATGGAACCCCAAAATATTCTAGTAAGTGACCCCAAAGAAATTATGATCAATTGCCTAACAAAGATGAAAAATATTGTTTTAAGACATCTCAGTGAACTACAAGAGAACACAGACAACTCAACAAATTTAGAAACACAACACATGAGCAAAACAAGAAGTTTGATAGACTTAGAAATCATAGAAAGAACCAAATAGAAATTCTGGAGCTGAAGAATATAATGAATGAAATAGAAAAATGCAATAGAGGGAGTCAATGGTAGACTTGGTCAAGCAAAAGAAAGAATCTGTGAATTTGAAGACAAATCATTTGAAATGGTCCAGTTACAGGAGGAAAAAACAAAAAGGAGTGAAGAAAGTCTATGGGATTTATAGGACACCACCAAGAGAGCTCACATTAGCATTACAGTGCTCTCAGCAAAAGAAGAGAAAAAGGAGAAGAAAGCTAATTTAAAGTAGTAATGGCTGAAAACTCCACAAATCTGGAGAGGATATGGACATACAGGTATATGAAGCTTGAAGTCTTCAAATAGTTTCAACCCAAAGAAGACTTCACAAGGACACATTGTAATCAAACTGTCAAAAATCAAAGACAGAGTATTTTGAAAGCAAGAGAAGAGAAGCTCATCAAATACATGGGAATTCCCCATAACCATATCAGCAGATACATCAGCAGGAACCATGCAAGCCAGGAGACAGTAGGATGACATATTTAAAGTGTTGAAAGAAAAAATAGAAACCTGCCAACCCATAATACTGTACTCAGAAAATCTGTCCTACAGAAATGAGGAAGAGATAAAGACTTTCCCAGACAAAGGAAAGCTGAAGAAGTTCATTTCTTCTTCAAGAAATGAAGGAATAAACAAGGAACAGATATATTTATATGAGACAAAATAGACTTTAAGTTAAAAACTATCACAAGAGACAATGTCATTATTTGATGATTAAGGAGTCATCCATCAAAAGGATATTATAATTCTACATACATATGCACCCAGTAACAGAAAGGCTAAATACATCAAGCAAATATTATCAGCTCTGAAGGGAGAAATAGACAGCAATATAATTATAGAAGTGGACTTCAATACCTTACTTTTGACAATGGATAGCTCATCAAGACAGAAAATTGATAAGGAAATAGCACACTTCAACTACTCTTTAGACCAAATGGACCTAACAGGATATGCAAAACATTTGATTCAACAGCAGCAGAATGCATATTCTTTTTAATCACACATGGAAAAATGGAAACCCTTATACATTGTTAGTGGGAATGTAAATTGGTATAGTCATTTTTTTTAAAAAAAGCATAGAGAGTGCTCAAAAAATTAAAACTAGAGACACAATATGACCCAACAATCCCACTTCTGGGTATATATACAAAGGAAATGAAAACAGTATGTCGAAGAACTTGCACTTGCATGTCGAAGAACATGCACTTGCCTGTTCATCATATTATTATTCATAATAACCAAGATACAGAAACAACCTACGTGTCTGCCAATGGAAAGCTATATAAAGAAAATGTGATACACACACTATAGGCTCCACTTACTCCCTCTTATTCACAGCTTTACTTTCCGGGGTTTCAGTTACCCCTAGTCATCCATGGTCTAAAAATAGATGAGTAAAGTACAATAAGATATTTATATAGAGAGAGAGAAAGACCACATATACCTAACTTTAATTACAGTCTATTGTTATAATTGTTCTATTTTATTCTTAGTTATTGCTCTCGATTTCTTACACGGTCTAATTTATATATTAAACTTTATCATAGGCAATTATGTACAGGAAAAAAACATAGTATATATATAGTGTTTGGTACTATCTGTGGTTTCTGACATCCACTGGGGATCTTGGAACACATCCCCATGGATAAAAGAGGACTACTGTATATATAATGGAATATTATTCAGCCTTAACAAAAGAAGAAATCCTGCCATTTTTGACAACGTGAATGAATCTGAAGAACATCAGGCTAAGTGAAATAATCCAGCCACAAAGAGACAAATACTGAATGATCTCACTCATATATGAAATCTTAAATAACAGAATATAACAGAAATAGAGAGTAGAAGAGTGGTTACCTACCAGTGATCAAGGAGCAGAGGAAATAGGGAGATGCTGGTCAAAGGGTACAAACTTCCAGTTATGCAATGAGTCACTTCTGGAGACCTAATGTACAGGATGGTGATTACAGTTAATAATAATGTTATTAAATACTAAATTTGCTAACAGAGTAAATCTTAAGTATTCTCACCACACACACATACACACAAAATTAGCTTGATTGGGATAATCATTTCACAATGTGTACATATATTAAAACATCACATTGTATACCTTAAATATATACAAATTTTATTAGTCAGTTTTACTGAAGAAGGAGGGAGGGAGGGAGGAAGGTAGGAAGAAAAGAACGAGGGAAGAAGGGAAGGAGCGAGGGAGGGAGGGAGGAAGGGAAGGAGTGAGTGAGGGAGGGAGGGAGGGAGGGAGAGAGGAAGGGGGGAAGGAAGGAAGGAAGGAAGGAAGGAAGGAAGGAAGGAAGGAAGGAAGGAAGGAAGGAAAATAATGGCAATAAGTAGTAAAAATAATTAATAAATTATAATATGAACTGCTCAGCACAAGCTAATTAAGAGGTTGCAACCACCATTGGTAAATGGTCTTCCTGTGGCACCTGAGAAGCTATTCAGTGCCATCTGCTGGTGTGGTGCATCACTGCAGGCTGAGAGCTTGCTTTGCACCTTTATGAAACACTTTAAACTTGCCTGCTTAAATTATCTTGGAATTATAGAGTTGTTATTGTTTCTAAGTCATTTGTCTTCTACTTTCATTTTCTTGTTACTGCATTGTCATTCTTGTGTCAGTAGTAAGTTGTAATGTCTTAATGTTTAGAAATTCAGGAATTTTTAATAAAATAGTAAAGCACAACTTGAATGAAGACAGCAAAAAATAACAATCATAAAATATTCCACTCCATAATGGGCATGTGTAGGGACTATCCCAAATATGAAAAAAAAACATCCTGAAGGCTTCTTCTAATATAAGCATAAGGTGGGGGGCATGAGGTGCTGGGAGGCTGGCCTAAGACTCTGATCTTTTTATGACAACATCAGGTGGTATGCACAGTGATGTTAACGTAACCATCACTGACATGGAGGAATGGGTACATTCATTATAGTTGAAGGTTGAAGTCTCACTTAGACTCATTCTCAGGAGTTAGAGACTTTTACTTTCCCTTTACTCCTCGAACATGGCTGGAGCAAACAGTCTGGGATCACAGAAAGGAAAGCTCCAGGCCTGAGTTTCACATAATTGGCCTAAAGAGGAAAAACACCAAGCCTTGGCCCAGGCATATCCCAATTGCTTTAGGTCCCAAGGAAAGAATGGACAAGAATTATGGCATTAAGGGAGCCAAAGAGAGTGGAGAGCAATTTGATGACAACTCCAGAAACTTGCCAATCTACCCATAAAGGCTCATAGTGGTAGGACTCTGGTGGCTGAGTCTATGTAGTTCTGAGATTTAGTATAGGAAATCACTTGGATAACATACTTAAACCATGTCCTACAATTCAGTTTTCATTTGTAATAAGAAAAATACACAAAGATTTACTCTCTATTTCCCCCATCTACAACTTGGAGCAATATAAAGTGAGCTAGTTAGGCATGTCTGCCCAGCAGAGCCAAGCTTTCCCATGGTCTAAATTCAGGGGCACTGAGAAGTGGGGAGCCATGTTCTCCAGTCTCATTGGTTTGTTTTTGAGACAGAGTCTCACTCTGTGGCCCAAGCTGAAGTGCAGTGGCACGATCTCGGCTCACCGCAGCCTCCGCCCCCCGGGCTCAAGCGATTCTCATGCCTCAGCCTCCTGAGTAGCCGGGAATACAGGCCAGCACCACCACGCCCGGCAAATTTTTTTTTTATTTTTTAGTAGAGACAGGGTTTCACCATGTTGCCCAGGGTGGTATCAAACTCCTAAGCTCAGGTGATCTGCCCGCCTTGGCCTCCCAAAGTGCTGGGATTACAGGTGTGAGCCACTGCGCCCAGCCTCTCCAATCTAACTTATGTCAGCAAAAGAGCCAGTCTTTTGATCCTCAACCTTCTGACTATTTTGTTTCTCTCAGTTGGTTTAGATTCAAGAGGAGAACCCCTCAAACCCTAGACTTGTGTCCCAGTTCACTGCTCAATGGATGTCTGTGACCATGAGTCAGTGATTCAAACCAAGTCTCTGTTTTCTCATCCACAAAATGAGGATAATAGCACAAACTACCTCTAGAATTGTTTGGCAGGAAGACATGTTATAGCCTAAGGAACGTTCTTGCTGAGTGACTGGCACACTGTAAGTACTCAAGAAGTGTTGCTTATTATATTTATAAATAAATATTTTAAATTCATTTTTATACTTTATTGTTATAATTTTAATCTTTGCTGCAAAAATGTATTGCTGTTTCTTTTTTAAACCCATTCTTTCAGCACTGACATCCGCTAATGCCCCAAACCCATCTCTACCCCAATCTCTGTGGAAAGGGATTTGAGGCATTAGCTCATATTGGTGAAGATGGGTTTGGGTATTAGCAGATGTCAGTAGAAATGGGATTGGGGTATTACTGATATCAGTAGAGATGAGTTAGGGGCATTAGCTGATATCAGTGCTGAAAGAACTGGTTTAAAAGGAAAACACAGCACTAAAATTCTAGAGCAAAGATCGAAATTGGACTATTGTCAGAACATAGAAAATAAGAGAAATCCAATTGTATAAAGGAAGAAACAAGTTTTACAACGTGTGTGTGTGTGTTCTAGGAGGGAGTGCAAGAGTCAGGTAAATCAATACCTTGCAAATTGCTAGCACTCAGAGGTTGGCAGGTTATCACTTCCAGAGAGAGAGGAGAGAATAAGCAGGCTTTAGAAGTATGCTTTCCAGGAACACCACAAACAGGCACTGTTGCGGGAAGTCAGGGACCCCAAATGGAGGGACCGGCTGAAGCCATGGCACAAGAATGTGGATTGTGAAGATTTCATGGACATTTATTAGTTCCCCAAATTAATACTTTTATAATTTCTTATGCCTGTCTTTACTGCAATCTCTAAACATAAATTGTGAAGATTTCATGGACACTTATCACTTCCCCAATCAATACCCTTGTGATTTCCTATGCCTGTCTTTACTTTAGTCTCTTAATCCTGTCATCTTGTAAGCTGAGGAGGATGTATGTCACCTCAGGACCCTGTGATGATTACATTAACTGCACAAATTGTAGAGCATGCGTGTTTGAACAATATGAAATCTGGGCACCTTGAAAAAAGAACAGGATAACAGCAATGTTCAGGGAACAAGAGAGATAACCTTAAACTCTGACTGCCAGTGAGCCAGGTGGAACAGAGCCATATTTCTCTTCTTTCAAAAGCAAATGGGAGAAATATCGCTCAATTCTTTTTCTCAGCAAGGAACATCCCTGAGAAAGAGAATGAACCCCTGAGGGTGGGCCTCTGAAATGGCTTCCTTGGGTGTGGCCATCTTCTATGATCGAGCCTGTAGGGATGAAATAAGCCCCAGTCTCCCATAGTGCTCCCAGGCTTGTTAGGACAAGGAAATTCCCACCTAATAAATTTTGGTCAGACCAGTTGCTCTCAAACCCTGTCTCCTGATAAGATGTTATCAATTACAATGGTGTCAAAAACTTCATTAGCAATTTTAATTTCGCCCTGGTCCTGTGGTCCTGTGATCTCGCCCTGCCTCCATTTGCCTTGTGATATTCTATTACCTTGTGAAGTATGTGATCTCTCTGACCCACACCCTATTCATACACTCCCTCCCCTTGCTGGTTTTATGGCTCAGGGGGCATCATGGAACCTACTGACATGTGATGTCTCCCCCGGACACCCAGCTTTAAAATTTCTCTCTTTTGTACTCTGTCCCTTTATTTCTCAAACCGGCGGACGCTTAGGGAAAATAGAAAAGAACCTATGTGAAATATCGGGGGTGAATTTTGCCTGATATCTGGCTGAATTTCTCCTGATAAGGCACAGATGGTGCCCATGTAGGAACACTAGGCTACAGATCTAGTAGATAGAGACAGATATTTGTAACAAAGACCTGTTGGATAGGGTGCTATGGCTACTTTCCTACTATATATGACCACCCCAAATATTTCCTGCAAGGTTAAGCTAGAAGTTTTTTACATGATGTTGAGGAAAAGCAGTTAGCACATATGAATGATGACAATGATTATAATATCTGACGATACCACCTAATATTTATTGATTCCTATGTACTAAGCTAAACAACATACATACCTTATCTTGTTTTATCTTCATAACAATCTTATGACATGGAAATAATTTTAACCCCCCCATTTTGCAAATGAGACAACTATACTCAGAGAGGTTAAGTGATTTGCCCACATTCTCATAGCTAGTGATTTCTAGATTTGAGATCTAAACCTGGTTTATTTGAGAGGGAGAAAAATTCTTAGATAAGATATAAGAAATTATTCTGTAAAAATACAGTGGCAGAAGGAAACCACTAATAAAAAGTGGATTTTGAAAGGTCCCAACAACAGAGAAAAAAGAGAGAAAGCATTGTACTCAGATTTATAGATTGATTTGAAGCTCTTTTGTAGATTATTTTGAATATGCTGAGAAAAGAAAGCTATTCCCTGCTTTTAGAAATGCTAAGAAAAATTGCAAACACCACAGGAATAAGAGATGTGTAATGGTTATTATTATTATTATTATTATTTGAGACAGAGTCTTGCTCTGTTGCCCAGGCTAGAGTGCAGTGGTGCAATCTCAGCTCACTGCAAGCTCCGCCTCCCAGGTTCACGCCATTCTCCTGCTTCGGCCTCCCGAGTAGCCTGGACTACAGGCACCCACCACCATGCCCGGCTAATTTTTTTGTATTTTTTAGTGGAGACAGGGTTTCACCATGTTAGTCAGGATGGTTTTGATCTCCTGACCTTGTGATCCGCCCGCCTCGGCCTCCCAAAGTGCTGGGATTACAGGCGTGAGCCACTGCGCCCTGCCGTGCAATGGTTATTAATATCTCCCTAGTATATTCACAGAAATGGCCATGGAGTCACCTAGGAACATGTACTTACTTTTCCTTGAGCATGTAGCTAAGAGAAGCTGGAGAGTCTACCAAGATTACCAAACCTGCTAATTCACAACAGTACAAATAACATATCCAGGAGATATATAATTATGAAACTAAGTAAATTAGAAGTCATGCTAATTTTCATTACTTTCTGTTGATAGCCATAGCTTTCAAGATAAATGGTGTATAATAAAGTAAATTATTAGCCATACACCTGGTGTTGGCAAAAAGTCTTGGTTCTCTGAACCATGACCAACAGCAGTACAATGAATACTTTCAAATGGATTACAAAGAAAAGTAAACCAATATTATAAAAAGCACTGTGCTCACACACTGTAGAGAAAATAAGAATAATAATCTTTACCCTAAAAGTTGCTCATTACACACAAAAAATGTATTTGTAAAATATATTTTCTAAGACATATAGCAAATAGCAGAGCTTTTAAATTATAAGAATTTACTATGCCAAATTTATATCAGATTAAAGTATCTAAATAAAAGGAATGGATTTTTTTTAGCAAAATACAACTGATCAAAGTTACCAAGATATAGAAAACCTAGAAAGACCATATTTATGGAAGAAATGCTATCAGTAGTCAAAATTTACACCTAATTGAAGCCCAGAGGATTTTTTAAAAGATAAGTTCTATTGAAACTTAAAATAATAATTCTGGTGCTATTTAAACTATTCCAAACACTTTTTTAAGAGTTGAAGAATGAACTGAATACAAATTCCTGCTGCCATTTACTGATTCAACTCCTTAGAAAAGACATTGTTTGAAGGAATAAATTCATAAAAGACCTGTAACACAAAAAGGTACACCAGTGATCATGAAGGAGTCCATGAAAGAAAATATACACATGGGACTGGGTTAACAGAAGAAACTATTGTCTAAAGCATGTGAGAGGACTCTTAGGAAAGGTGCCATGGCTCTGGAGGTAATTCAAGTTAAAGGTAAGGATGTAGGGGGTTAGAAAGACCCCTGGCAAAACATCTAGGTGAGTGGTTAAAGAAATATATTTTAATTGCCCACATGGGTTGACCCCATAAGATGATCACACCCCATTTTCATTTGTATCAAGAAGCAGCCAGCAGAACATCAAACTTCAGGCTAAAATTATGAACACAAGTATTGGGGCAAGAAAGGAAGGGCAATGTATTAGATAACTTACGGCACCCAAGAAGAAGGAGGAAACCCATACCCTCCAAAATAGGTATACCTCCTTGAAGTATATTTATGGTTTCAGTACCCCAAATCACCTGAAGCAGGATTGCTTCCCCAAAGAAAACCACATCCACTAAAAACAGAATAGGGAGGGTCTTACATAAAAATGAATGCACAAGCAAGAAACACCCAATATTAGGCCGGGCACGGTGGCTCACGCCTGTAATCCCAGCACTTTGGGAGGCCAAGGCGGGCAGATCACGAGGTCAGGAGATCGAGACCATCCTGGCTAACACGGTGAAACCCCGTCTGTACTAAAAATACAAAAAATTAGCCGGGCGTGTTGGTGGGCGCCTGTAGTCCCAGCTACTCAGGAGGCTGAGACAGAATGGCGTGAATCCGGGAGGCGGAGCTTGCAGTAAGCCGAGATTGCGCCACTGCATTCCAGCCTGGGTGACAGAGCGAGACTCCGTCAAAACAAACAAACAAACAAACAAAAAACCCAATATTTTGGAAATTCATTACAAAAAAAGACACTGAATTCAACAAACAGAATACTAAAAAACTAGTTAAAAGAGCAAACTGAACAATTAATTAAAATAAATCAAAGTAATAGCCTCAGAGTGTTATAATGGAATATCATGTGAATTAAATAAGAACAGGTTAAAAATGAAGAACTAAGAAAGTAGGTTATGCAACTACTATAAAGACCCAATTGATGGGCCAGATAGCCCATCAATTTGAATCACTAAATTAATCTGAAGACCTAGCTGAGGACTTCTCTCAGAATGCAGTGCAAAGGTACAATTAGAGAGTATGAAAGGAGAATTAACAGAAAGGGAATATTAATGCAGGTATTTTGAAATCCATTCAATAGGAGAAAACAGAGAGAATTTTTAAGAAAAATTTAAAGGAAATAGATAATTTAAAAAAAAATTGTTTAAAGTCCAAGGACTGAACAATGACAAGTCTTTTCAGATTGAATAGGCATAGTGAACACTGATCAAGATAAATAAAGATACCATGCCTAGGTACCTAAAAGTAAAATTGTCAAAAACCAGTGTCACAGGTTGGGTTTCCAAGGCAGCAAATTCAGAATCTGAGATGTGCAAGTAGGAGGTTTTCTGGAGATTGCTCTCAGGGACACTTGTGAGAAAGCAAAGGAAGCAGGACTAAGCAGAGGGAGAAGTTGAACAGAAATGCAGTTGCAAAAGTGGCCTCAGCAGATCTCACAGGGAGCTCTGAAGGTAATAGGAGGTCCTTCAGAAATACAATTACATTTTAACAAAATTATTGGAAAGACAAAAACTATAATGTCAGAGAGCAGATTATTTGTTGCAAGGGAGGGAACTGACTACAATGGAGATAAGGGAACATTTTAGGGATTATGGGAATTGTCCTATATTAGAATTATATACATTTGTCAAAATGCATTTAATAATATACATTAATTTAATAAATTTTATTGTATGTAAATTGCACCTAAAGTTTATTCTAAAAAGAAAATGAGTTATGAAAAATTAAAATGTAAGAACATTGGAGGATCAATCTAGGAGACTCATTATCCAATTAACAGGCATTTCAGAAGAACACAGAAATCCCAAGACGAGAGTTACACAGTTGGTTTAGAGTAGGTTAGCAGATTACACCAAGATTCACATGCAGTTGTGGATAAATATACAAAGATCCTGTGTGTTCTTTACCCAGTTTCCCCCAATGGTAACATAATACGAAAGTATACTACACTTTTACAACTAGAATGTTAACATTGACATAATCCACCAATCTTAGTTTTATTTGTACTTACTTATGTGTATATGTGTGTACATGTGTATTTAGTTCTATAAAATTGTATTATATGCACTGATTTATGTATCCACCACCACAATCACTTATCTGTTTTCCATTTTAATAATTTTGTCATCTCATGAATGTTACATCAATTAAACAATACAGTATGTAAACTTTTAAGAGAGGCTTTTTAAAAATCAACATCATCCTCTTGCGATTTATTCAAGTCCTGTGTATCAGCAGCTTGTTCCTTTTTATTGCTGAGTACTGTTCCATAGTATGGATGTACCATGAACTGTTTAACCCTTCATCCACTTAAGAACATCTACATTATTTCCAGTTTGGGTTATTATCAATAAAGCTGCATGAAAACTTTCATGTACAGGTGTTTGTATAAACATAAGTTTTCATTTTTCTGAGATAATTGCCCAAGCATACAGTCTCTGGTTCATATGGTTAACTGCATGTTTTGTCTTCTAAGAAACTGCCAAACTGTTTTCCAGAACATACATTTTTATATTTCCATTAGCAATGTATAAGTAACCCAGTTTCTTTACATCCTCACCAGCATTTGTATTATTTCTATTTTTTTAATTTTAAATATTCCGATAGGTATGTTGGACAGAATTTAAAACAAAAACCTTATGTTCATCTCAATAGATGCAGAAAAAGCTTTTGATAAAATCCAACATGCCTTCATGATAAAAGCACTCATCAAACTAGGAATTGAAGAAACATACCTCAAAATAATAACAGCCATCTATGACAAACCCACAGCCAACAACATACTAAACAGGCAAAAGCTGAGGGAAGCATTCTTCCTAAGAACTGGAACAAGACAAGTATGCCCACTCTCACCACTCCTATCAACATGATACTGGAAGTCCTAGCCAGAGCAACCAGGCAAGAGAAATAAATAAAAGTTATCCAAATAGGAAAATAGGAAGTCAACCTCTCTTTGCTGATGACATAATTCTATACCTAGAAATCCCTAGAGACTCTGCCAGAAGGCTCTTGGAACTAATAAACAACTTCAGTAAAGTTTCAGGATACAAAATCAATGTAGAAAAATCAGTAACATTTCTATACACCAATAACATTCAAGCTGAGAGCCAAATCAAGAATGCAATTCTATTTATAGTAGCCACAAAAAAATGAAATACCTAGGAATACATCTAACAAAGGAAGTGAAAGACCTCTACAAGAAGAACTACAAAACACTAATGAAAGAAATCATAGATGACACAAATAGAAAAACAGTCCATGCTCATGGATTGGAAGAATCAATATTGTTAAAATGGCCATACTGCCCAAAGCAGTCTACAGATTCAATGCTATTCCTATTAAAGTACCAACATCATTTTTCACAGAATTAGAAAAATACTATTCTAAATTTTGTATGTAACCAAGAAAGAGCCCAAGTAGCCAAAGCGATCCTAAAGAAAAAGAACACAACCGGAGCATCACATTACCCGACTTCCAACTATCATATAAGCTACAGTAACCAAAACAACATGGTACTGGTACAAAAATGAACACATAGGCCAATAGAATAAAATAGAGAACCCAGAAATAAAGGCATACTCCTACAGTCATCTGATCTTTGACAAATTCAACAAAAAAAGGAACAGGAAAAAGACTCCCTATTTAATAAATGGTGCTGGGATAACTGGCTAGCCATATGCAGAAGAATGAAGCTGGACCCATACCTTTCACCATACACAAGAATTAAATCAACATGGGTTAAGGATTTAAATGTAAGACCTCAAACTGTAAGAATCCTAGAAGAAAACCTAAGAAGCACCATTCTGGATATTGGCCTTGGGAAAGAATTTTTGACTAAGTCTCAAAAGCAATTACAACAAAAATAAAAATCAACAAGTGGGACCTAATTAAACTAAATAGCTTCTGCACAGCAAAAGAAACTGTCAACAGAGTATACAGATAACCTACAGAATGGTAGAAAATATTTTGCACTATAATCTAACAAAGGCCCAATATCGAGAATCTGTAGGAAACGTAAACAATTTAACAAGCAAATACATATAAAACCTCATTAAAAGTCGGCAAAAAACATGAACATGCACTTCTGTAAAGAAGACATACACATGGCCAACGAATGTGAAAAAATGCCCAACATCACTAATAATCAAGGAAATACAAATCAAAACCACAGTGAGATGTTATCTCACACCAGAGTGACTATTATTAAAAAGTCAAAAAGCAACCGATGCTGGCAAGGCTGTAGAGAAAAGGGAATGTTTATACACTGTTGGTGGGATTGTAAATTAGTTTAGCCACTGTGGAAAGCAGTTTGTAGATTTCTCAAAGAACTTAAAACAGAACTACCATTTGACCCAGCAATGCCATTACTGGGTATATATCTGAAAGAAAATGAATTATTCTACCAAAGAGACACATGCACTTGTAAGTTCATCACAGTACTATTCACAATAGCAAAGACATGGAATCAACCTATCAATGAGAGATTGGACAAAGAAAATGTGGTACATATACACTATGGAATACTATGCAACCATAAAAAAGAATGAAATCATGTCTTTTGCAGCAACATGAATGCAGCTGGAGGCCATTACGCTAAGCAACTGAACGCAGGAACAGAAAACCAAATACCACATGTTCTCACTTATAAGTGGGAGCTAAACCTTGGGTACTCATGGACATAAAAATGGCAACAATAGTGGGGACTACTAGAATAGGGAGGAAGGGAGGGGGTAAGGGTTGAAAAACTATTGGGTACCATGCTCAATCTGGGTGATGGGATAAATCATATCCCAAACCTGAGCATCACTCAGTATACCCATGTAACAAATCTGTACATATACCCCCTGAATCTAAAATAAAAATGGAAAATATTTAAAAATTATAAAAATTAAAAAATAAATTAGTTGGGCATATTTGTGTAAACCTGTTTCTGGGTTCTTTATTGTATCTCATTGATCTATATGTGTCTCTTTCCAACTGTCTTTCTCAATTTGCTGGCTTTTGTAAGTAAAGTTTTATTGGAATATAACCAGCCTATTTATTTACATATTGTCCATGTCTGTTTTTATATACAAAGGCAGAGTTGAGTAGTTGAGACAGAGACTGTATGTCCCATAAAGCCTAAAGTATGTAATATCTTGTCCTTTACAGAATATCCATTGGCCTCTGGTTTAAAGAACAATTGCTCCACATAGAAGCAGGAAGACATAGGGTTTTAGGAAGGAAATCTCCAGAAAGAAAATGGACTAACAGTTTAACTGATGTGTTTTGTCATATTAAGAAGAGTTTCATGGTTAGAAGAATTTGTGCAAGTACATAAAAAATTAAGCAAACAACAAAAGTTAATTATTAACACCAACAAAAATGGTATTAGGAATGAAAAATAATCATAGTATACCATGTGATTCATCTGTGAGGAACATTTATATGATCCTAGTGTGGAAGGCAGAATGATGCTCCTCTTCCTCCAAAGATGTCTATGCCCTAATCCCCAGATCTGTAAATATGCTACCCTTTGTAGCAAAGGGGATTTGCAGATATAACTAAGAACCTTGAAATGAGAAACTATTCTTGATTCTCCAATTGAGGCTAACGTAATTTCAAGGGCTCTTCTAAGAGAGAGGGGTAGAAGGCTTATAGTGAGAGATGTGCAATTAAAACAGAAGCCAAATAATCAAAGAGAGATTTGAGGACGTTACATTGCTGATTTTGAACATGGAGGACGGGGCCACAGCCAAGGAATACAGAAGACTTTTAGAAGGCAAAGAAAACAGATTCTCCCGTACAGTCTCCAGAAGGAATCAGCCTTGCTAACACCTTGACTTTATCCTTATGGACTAATTTTTACTTTCGACCTAAAACTATAAAATAATAAATTTGTGTTAACTGAGCCATTAATTTGTGGTAATTTGTTAATGTAAAACCCTATAATTGACCAAAATTGTGATCTTCCAAATGGAAGAGAAGGGGAAAGATATGTGTGTGTGTGTGTGTGTGTGTGTGTGTGTGTGTGTGTGTGTTGTGTACACATGGGTGGGGGACAGGGTAAGAGAAATAATTATTTATCTTCCTAAATAGTAAGCCAGTAAATAATTTCTGAAATAGAAATATCAAAACAGCTAATAAGTATATCTAAAAGCAAAACTTGAGTAAGGAGAGGAAGGATGTAGGGGATTGCCAATTTTTAATATAAGTTGTGTATTATAAGTTGTGTCAGATTAACATGCCATTAATCTGTTCCTATATTGTTTTCATTAAAAATATAAAATAAAAGTAACTTCAAAGGTTATTGTTGTAGACTGAATATTTGTGTTGCCCTCATCTTCATTTCTTGAAGTCCTAATCCGCAATGTGGTGATATTAGGAAGTGAGGCTTTTCAGACATGATCAGGTCATGAGGACAGAGCCCTCATGAATGGAATTAATGCTCTTTTTATATAAATGAACCCCAGAGAGTTCTGCTTTTTCTTACTCCTGAAGATATGAGAGGTCAGCCACCTGTAATGCAGAAGAGGGCTTCACCAAAACCTGACCATGCTGACACCCTGATCTCAGACTTCTAGCCACTGAAGCAGAGACAGATAAATTTCTGTTGTTTATAAGCCCCCCAGTATATAGTGTTTTGTTACAGCAGTCCAAATTAAGACAAAAATTGGTACCAAGAAGTGAAGGTGTTGCTGTAACAAACACCCAAAAATGTGGAAGTGGCTTTGGAACTGAGTACTGAGTGGAAGCTGAAAGAGTTTTTAGGTATATGCTAGAAAAAGCCTAGATTATCATGAATGGCCATTTGAAGGCAATTCTGGTGAGATCTCAGAAAGAAAGAGAAAGCTTCTGTCTTCTTAGACAATACGATGACCAGAATATTGGTAGAAATATGGATGGTAAAGGTCATTCTGATTATGTCTCACATGGAAATGAGGAACATGTTATTGGAAACTAGAGAAAAGGCAATCCTTGTTATAAAGTGGCAAAGAACTTGGATAAACCGTGTTTGAGTTCTAGTGTTTTATGAGAGGTAGAACCTCTGAGCAATGAAACCAGATATTTAGCTAAACAGTTTTCTAAGCAAAGTGTTGAAAGAGTGGCCTTGTTCCTCCTGACACCTTATAGAAAAATACAAGGGGAAATAAATTAATTGAATATGAAATTTAAGCAAGCAAAAAGGAACCAAAATTAAAGATTTTGAAATTCTCAGCCTGTCCATTGTACAAAAACTAAGAAAGTATATTTGACATACAACAATAAAGGTGTGACAGACTGAGCACTTAGTAAGGATATTAGGCTGGGTGCAGTGGCTCATTCCTGTAATCCCAATGCTTTCAGAGGCTGAGGTGGGAAGATTACATGAGACCAGGAGTTTGAGACCAGCCTGGGCAACACAGAAAGGAGAGACATAAATTTATAAGTTCAAGAATTTCACAGAACCTCAAGCAGGATAAATTTGAAGAAAATTTCCTAAGCATATTATAGTCAAACTACTGAAAACTAAAGATAAAGAGAACATCTTGAAAGCAGCCAGGAAAGACTGGCATATAACATAAAAGGGGAGCATGATTTAAATGGCAGCTGACTTCTTTTTGGAATAATGGAGGCCAGAAAACAGAAGAACAATATCTTTGAAGTGCTTAAGGAAAACAACTGTCAACACAGAATTCTATATCCAACTAAATAAATTTCAAGAATGAGGTAAAATAAAGCATTTTCTGATAAAATAAGTTAAAAGAATTTTTGTCAGTGCATTCACACTGCCAGAAACACTTTATTGTGATTCTTACTATTATGGTTTTCTTTTTCTTTTTATATATATATATATATTTTTTTTTTATTATACTTTAAGTTCTAGGGTACATTGGTCTTGAGATCTCTCTGTCCAGAGGGACCATAAGCCAAGATAGCCACTCTCTAGGAGAACTTAACTGGGGAATAAAGTTAGGTTCAGTTGTCTGTGTCAGGGGAGACACAATGAGGATGTGAAACCAAAATGCACGTAAATGAAGAGAACTGAACTGAGATTTGAGCTCCTTCCCATGAAACAAGGTTTGCAGTTTGAGCTCAATTAAGTAAACTTTATTATTCAGAGGTCCCAGAGAGATTAGGGATGCTGATGAGAGACTGACAAGAAGGCTATAGATATCAAGGATCTCAACCAGAGGGTGGGGAGTGAGAGAGAAAGGGTGAGAGAGAACCTGTGGGGCTACGCCATTATTAAGACCCATAGGCATTATCATTTATGCTTTCCTGAAGGGGCTATGGATTGTCTAGTTAAAAAAAAACACTCAGGAAAAGGGGAAACTTATTTATATGACTCTGGTATTGACCATAGGTTTTATCATGGTCAGCAGCTATTGAGTGTGTTGGGCTTGGGGTCAGTGAGATGAGGAAGAAGGAGGCTATATAATAAACAACCACACAGGGAAAGGAAGCTTTAACTAGGTCAAAGGCAATGGAGTATGACTGCTTCCAACAACTTATATCAGGTTTAAAAATGGATGTCAAGGCAGCAACTATATAAATAAACTTACAACACACTTGTTAACAAGCCTTTCTTGTGATACTGATACGTGCTAATGTTAGGAAACAACTGATATAAATGGAAATTTAGTACCATATACAAGGTTAATATAGAGTATCTTCGCTGTCCTTGTTAACTCAAAGTTCTATAACTGCATGATTTAATGACATGCAATAAGGAAATTTGGCTGGCTGAGCTAGACTTCAGCTGTTGTTAGTGTGGGCAATATACTTTTATGAACCATGGACACAAACGCTGCTGCTCCTGGGTTCAAGTGAAAAAGCACAGTACAGAGTCTCAAAAAATTCCAGACTCTACCTAAAGCCTAGCACTGTTATGGCACCCTAAGGATCTTAGGTTTGTTATCATTAAAAAAAAAAAAAAAAAAACCATTTCTGAAGGCAATATTACGTGGAGGGTTAAAAAAAAAAAAAAGCCATGGAAGCCACAGCAATACTCCCTCAAGTAGCTTTGCAAGAATTGCTTGTCAACCAAAGCAGAGAGGGGTGGAAAAGGTAGACACAGTGAGGTCAACAGACTAGTTCAGAGGCATAATTGAGGCATCCATTTGGTGATGATTACTAACAGGACCTTTTGGTGGTGGCGGGGGGTGTGCAATGGAGGATGATTAAGTTCCTGCTTGAGCTAGTAGAAGACTTTGGAGTGACTTAAAATATGGCAATAAGGGCAAAAACTATCTTCACTTAGCATAGCCAGTTGCCATTGAGGCTTAAAAACTCTGCAAAGGACTGGTCTAGTGGTGGGAAAAATAGATGGCAAAAACAATATATAAAGGCTGACAATGTTATTTTAAAAAATAGATGTGGACACACTGGCTACTGGCTATTACATTACTCATTATAGGACAGAAGTGAATATCATGGTTTCAACATCAATATGTTGCAGCCCCATGGCTTTATTCATTCTTGCGGAGTACGAGGAAATAAATTTCCATTCTGCAGTCCACTCAGGGGTGAGGGATGAGAACCTCACTGGAACACGTCACTGTGATAGCAGCAGGTGGCAGTTAGGATCTGGTGGAAGAATTGTACAGACCTGGAATTAAGTCTCAGATCTGGCTCACCCTTCAGGTGACCCTGAGAAATTTACTTGTCCTCTTTGGCCTTCAGTCTCCTCATCTGTCAAATGGAGACTATAATGGTCTCCACTGATAGGATGATTGTTGCTGCTATTCCGTCCAACAAGTTTGACATTATATTTTTTAAAAGGAAACAGAAAGTTTCTTAGTTTGTGATTTTCCTCTTCTCTAGAAAAGAAGAGGATATTTATGTTATTGATAAATTCTGAGGTACACAGAGATGACAGCTGGGAAGAACTTGAAGCAAAATAGGAGAGGGTTCGGTTCTGTGCACACAAAAGATTAGTGAAGAGCACCAAGGCTGCCACATTGCTTGTGATTCCATATGTCCTTCCTTCTTCCATGCTTACCTATCACAGAATTCACACTATGGTTTTTGTGTTTGAAGGAAAAACTACATCATTTTCAGAATCAGTGCTTGCACTAGTTGCCAGGATCATTTTTGTGACACCCACCCCCACCAGAGACTTTGTAAAGCTAAGAAGTGTTTTTCACCCACTGCACTAGTCAAAAGAGTGGTTTCATTTGAAAATCCACCTGTCCAGGCAGGCCAAGGTAAATATATCTCCTTATGAAGGTAACTTAGATTTGGGGATACAGCTAGAGCATGCTCAGGGGAATTTGTAGCTGTACACAAATATAAATCTCATCTTGAGGGTCTTTCCTTCTGAATTCCTCAGCAAATTTTGCCATATGACTTAACCTTCAGTTTTTCGCCCTCTTCCTGCCCAAAATGGATCTTGGTGTTTTTGACATCACTTCTAACTCTACTTTCCACACCTTGGATTAATAAAATGTAATCTTTCCTCCCATCTCTTCCTTTCATCCTTTCCTTCTTCTCTCCTTCTTTACTTTCCCCTTCTCTTCTAATTTCCTTCACTCTTTCCTTGTAAATTTTTCAGTGTATTGCAAACTTTCAGTATAGTTTGTGAAAAGATGAACTGAATTTCCATGTGCTGACTGCTCAGTTTAAGAAATACAATTTTACAAATAAAAATAAGCTCCCTGGTTACCGTCTCCAATCCAGTTCCTCTCCTCCTCCCTACCAGAGGCATCCACTACCCTGAATTTTGATGTTAATCATTATTATGTGTGAAATTAAAATTTTACCACATATGTATGTAACCATGCACAATATGGTAATGTTTTGAAGGTTTTCAAACTTTATATGCATAGTTTCATACCATTTAAATCCTGCAAGTTCCTTTTTTCTCAACATTTTGTTTTTGAGAAAGAGCTTTCATTTTCTTTTGTTTGCTAAATGACATTTTAAAAGTTAGCACGTGCTTCTGTCATTTATAAGAAGTGGCACTTCATTACCCCAACTTAGAAATAATCTCACAACAAAGAACAATCCTTTGTTAAACTGTACACATTTATGTTTATAGGAGGTACTGCCTTCGTTTTGTTATTCTATCTAAACTTGGTGAAAATGTCATTCCAAGCCAAAAACAGTGTACAGGATAGCAGTGCTCATATGCAGCACTGCTGGCCTCTTTAGTGGCATCTCTGAGTCTGTGCATTCTTTCAGGGATCTGTGAGGAATCCTTAGCAAGAAAACCAGGATATCTTAGGGTCTTGGCTTGGAGTTAACTTCAAAGTTACATTTTGTCTCTGCCCACATTTTGTCACCATGTACACATGTAACAAAAACAGAGCTCCCTAAACTATATAAGGAAATTAAACGTAAATAGTGTATTAGTTCATTTTCACGTTGCTATAAATAACTTCCCTGAGACTGGGTAATTTATTTAAAAAAAAAAAAGAGGTTTAATTGATTCACAGTTCCACATGGCTGGGAAGACCTCAGGATACTTACTGTCATGGTGGAAGGGGAAGCAGGCATGTATTACATGGTGGCAGCCAAGAGAGAGTGAGAAGGGGAAATGTCAGATGCTTATAAAACCATTAGATCTCATGAGAACTTCCTCACTATCATGAGAACAGCATGGGGGAAACTGCTCCCATGATCTAATCACCTCCCATCAGGTCCCTCCCTTGATATGTGGGGATTACAATTCGAGATGAGATATGGGTGGGGACACAGAGTCAAACAATATCAAATAGGAATTTTCTGGGAAATGTGAGAATAAGAATCTTCTAGATGCATGAAGAAAAGGTTGAGACTCCATTTTCTTTCCAGTTTCCTTTTTACTGCCTCCTCTTTTTAAACTCATCTCTTTCAAGTCAAACATCACAACTCACATTTCTAGTGCACCCTTGTTTTACTCTTTTTCTACTTGCTTTTTCCTTTTGATGTGCCTTTCTCTTTTCCACTTACATTCCCCTGTTCTATTTCTATCTATGGGCAGTAGAATACAGTAACTAAAGACACGTGCTCCAGACTGAGACCCATGCTCAAATCCTCCTCCTGCCACTGGCCATTGTTATGATTTTGACAGATTATTTATCTTCTCTCTCTTCCAGTTTTTTCATCTATAAAATGGGATAATTTTACTACCTGCCTCGGGGATTAGTATGAGAAGTAAATAAAATATTATCAATACTAAAACACTGGGCACAGTGCCTGACCCAAAGTCAATTCCCCAAAGCTACTAAAATCATCACCATCTCTTTCCTCTGTATTTTCCATTCTCTCTGACCTCCTGTCAGCTAATCCTCCACATGCCTTTATTCACCTCACCTTCTCTGACTCCTTTAATTTCAATGCAGGTGTGCTCAGGCTCCCTTTCTCTAACAGAGAGGATCCAGAAATGGGGCATAGTCCTGACAAGAAACAGCAGCAGGTTGTATCCATATAGTTACAAACCCACCAACACGGATGATCAGGCAGAGACAGGTTTTGTGATTTGCTCAATCACTAAAGTATGCTCCTTGTCATTCCATTATGGTCCTGCTCTGAAGGATCATGTATTGCTCCCTGAGGCACACAGAACAGCAGAGTCTGATTTGAATATTTACAAAAAAAAAAAAAAACCTGAAGAAAGAAAACCTGAATAAGCCAAACCAGGTGATCCCACATGAACACTAATCACCGTCAATCAGACCTCAGTACACTCACAACCCGCAACCCCCAGGATGGTCCTCAGAGGGGTCATCTTAACATCCTGCTGAAGGTGAGAGAACTCCTGGGGGAAAGGAAAAGGTGTATGTGGGGGCAGGAGCAGGGGATTTCCTATAGGCTAGGACTGCAGGCAGGTGCTTGAGTAAGGGTAACCAATTTAACAATGGGATCTATCTCATCAAGTTCATCTGGGTCAAGATGTCTCTTCTGTTCATCACCTAAGGGAAAAAAGTGGTAACTGCTCTCTAGAGAATAAGAAGCTCTTTATCAGATCCTCCTAAACCATCTCTGAGAGTGACCTCAGTACAAAATCATGAGCTCAACTGTGCCTGGACCTGAATACATTAAAAATAGAAATGTAACCCAGACAAGTAATTTGAAATTTCCCAGTAAACCTATTTTAAAAGTATAAGGAAATAAATTAATTTTGATAACATATTTTAACTTAATATATTCAACCTATAATCATTTCAACACATCATCAACATAAAGATTATTAATGAGATATTTTATATTCTGGTGTTTTTTTGCTTTGAAATCTGGTGATCACTTTACACTTAGAGCACACCTGCATTTGCACCAGCTACATTTCAAGTGTTTAGCAGCCACACATGGCAAGTGGCTACTGAATTGGACACTGCAGCTTTTGACCCAGAAGCTTTCTAAGGTATGAACCTGAACATGTGGCCTGTGCTACCCCGACACATATGAAAAGCAGAAACAGCAAAATGTTTGTTGTTAACTTCAGAGGAAACACTTGCTTTATGGAGAAGCAGGCCTTCAGATATATCAAGGGATTCAGAAGGCTGGGGCTTGACTCAGGTGAGACTCTCTCCCCTGTAGTCGGTCTTCCCCTAGCTGAGTCGCCCCTCTGTTAATATGCAGGGTGCTGCTCAGATCCAATGGCTCAGGGCCCTCCATGCCAACTGGTGAATATATTCATAAGAAACCATTCATTCTACTTGCACTGCTCTGACTTTATTTTCCTGAAGGGGTTCTTAAAAACAGAACACTACAGAAGCAGCCTCCCTAGAAACAAGTGAAATGGTTTCAAGGAGGAGATAGCATTAAATCATTAAATGCTGCCGATAGGTGAGAAAAGAACCAAGACTTGATCATTGCAGAGGTCAGAGACAACCCCAACTGTGCCCCAGCCAGTGCAGCAAACACTGTCCATGTTCAGCTGCAGACTGAAGGATATATGTCCAGGCACTTGAGCTGGGTTTGAAAGAAGCACGACAGCATGATAATGGGAACCAAGCAAGTGTTAGGAGGCAGTAGGTCTAAGAAAGACTGATGGAGGAGAATCAGGACAGGGTCTTCAGGGGCCCTGTACACTAGCCAAAGTACCATACCCGCTCAGGGCCCACTCACCTCTCAAGGCTCCCAGCCTCTAAACACGACCAGGAAACTGCTTCAGAGGAGCCGCATGCCCTGTGGCCTGACCCTCATCACCACAGCCTCTAGAAGCAGGTCCAGGTGAGCACTTGAGGCTGGCGACAGCTGCTTCTGCAGATTGTCCATTAGGCCTGGAGAAGCAAAGTCTGTGACTGTTATAAACTCCTTCTCTGCCCATATGCATTCAATGGATCTAATGGTCACCTCTGATTCACATCAGGTGTGCACAATGACAACAGAACGGGCAAACGTCCACCAAGGACAATGTGAAGAGAAGCCAAGGCACAACCAAGCAGCTCCCCGACCCTCCTGAGCCTGTGGCACCCAGTCCTCTGCCACATTAGGCTGCTGCCTCCTCATATCCCCCAGGACAAACACTGTTTTCTGACTTTCAGATTGCTCATATTTCTCATCTGGTGTTGTTACTTTCTCTTGTTTCCTAGAATGGTTATTAATTTGTTCTTTAAACATATTATTTCTGTCATTTCCTGGGTTTGGATTGGGAGGGAGGTAAAAGGAAGGAGGAAGTAGTGGAGGGGCATTATTATTTATCTCACATGTTGGCAGTAAAGATACACTGACTACACGACATCTAACATGAAATAGAGGTTTGAGGATATAATTGAAACTAATAAAAAACAACAGAAGAACTGAAACTAATAATACAAGGAACAGATCTTACAGTGGAGGAGAGAAGCTGGAAGTGTTCTAAATTCCTCATCCTTCCCAACGATCACTCAGTGGATTTCTTCTAATGTTAGTATAATCATTAAGGAGGAGTACAGACTTAAGTTTGTGATGGACTAAAACAGAAATGATTAACTCTTTGCAAGGAGAGAGCAGAGCGAGCCCCATTTCTTAATACCATTACTTTGGGGGTTCAGTTTCACCATAAGAATTTTAGGGAGACACCAACATTCAGACCACAGCAATATGTCTACACTAGCTACCTCCAATGATGATAAATAAGGTCTCCTCCCTCTCTCTGCCTCAAACATACACACATCAAGTATAATTCAATGTGTTTTTAAACATTTACAGTCATTCTTTCCTTTTTGGTGCTCAAATTGTCCCATATTTGACCACTGGGAGCCCCCTGGAGTTTCTTTTCAGACCCCTCAAGTGTAAGAGAACCTCAGCTTTTATCCCACAATTATTGTAGCCTTTGCCCCTTTAGTTTGATGAGCATGAGAGATCAAAAGAATGTAAATATTTAGTTGCAATGAATTTGGTTTATTAAAATTAGGCATTGTGACACATTAGAGTGGTAGTCATATTGTTGCATGTTTTCTCTCCTTGAAGTGATGATTGGATTAATAGATTCAACTAAGAGCATGATGTATAGTAGATTTCAATGTGTGTTTTGTTGTTAATGTTGACTTTGATGGTAATGATAATAATAGCTTATATTATTGGGTACCTGCAATGCGCCAGGCTTATTTCACTAAGTACTTTAACTCCACTCTATGAGATAATTGCTAATAGCATTCATTTTACAAGTTATGAAACCAAAATACAGAGAAGTTAAATAACTTGTCCAAAGATACAGATCTGATAGTAAGGAACCAGGTTGGGATTTGAATCCAGGCTATTCAGAGCTCAGTTTCCTAATCGCTGGGATGATCATGATTGTATTAATTTATTGCTGATATTTATTATTCATTCATTCATACAGCAATTATATATTGAGTTGCTCTATAGACTACACAATTGAGCCCAGCATTGTAGACACAGAGAAAAATAACAGCAGAACTCAGCCCTTAAAATGGAATCAAACGGACATTCTCCCGTGATAGACATGCTCAGGACATGCTATCTAATTTATTCTTCCAAGTTTGTCCTGCTTAGTAGCAGGCCCCAGCCAACTCTCTCAGACCTCAAACTTTTCCTAGGGCCCAAACACTTCTGGTAACCCTCACTCTCCCCCAACAAACCTAGAAGGAAGATTTACTGGGCTCACATCCAGTTGTGGTTTACACAGAGAGCTGTCGAGAAGATGAGGGAGGAGGGAATGAGAAACCTCCTCTCAGTGGGGGGAAGTGGGAAGATGTGTACCAGGAACTGTGTAGTGTATTCACCAGTACCTGCTCTTACTATTCCCAAACTCTTCTACCTGAAAGATGTGTGGCATTATCTTAGGTTCGCAAATGTAAAAACACACTCATGGAAGTTAAATGACTTATCGAAGATTATGCAGTTCATTAAGTGGTGAAGACTGGGTTTGAACTTAGGAATATTTAACCAGTTGCAGATGATGTTCTTTCCACCATGTCAGATACTTTGAAACATTTGGGATCTGGCTATGGTGTGCTGGAGACGACTTGTATCATCTAGCAAGATCTGACTGTGTGCATCTATTCCCATTTCCACGTTCAGGGACATCACTTTGGTAGCTTAAAATCAGCCATGGAAGGGAGTATTTACACAACAAAAACTGGCAGATGCTACAAATCAGGACTTTTACGTCCAGAGAGCTGGTTCTGCACACCACTGTTCATCTGCACACCACTGGGATCTGGTAAACTGGAAGGCAGATATTAGAACTAGGTCAGAAATTACTCTTAGCTGGTCTTCATGGTGGAGCCAAGAAGAGTTAAATTAAGAGGGTCAGCCAGTTAGTAACCAGGTACGTCAGTCTAAAAGGCCTCTAACTCAGGGATCAGCAAATTTTCCTGTAAAGGGTCAGATAGTAAATAATTTAGGCATTACAGGCCACATATTAATCTTTGTTTTATTTTTACAAATCTTTAAAAAGATTTTTAAAAAATTATTCTTAGCTCACAGGCTGCAGGCTGGATTTGGCTGGCAGCTGTTAGTTTGCTGACCCCTGCTGTAAACTAGCACCAAATATATAGAAAGACAGAAACTACTCATTACAATTGTTCTCACAGACAGTGTTCTTTGTCATTGGAAAAAAAATCGATAAACTGCTTAAAGTATGGAACATTAAAATAGCACCTGCCTACCCCTTAAGAAACATAATCAAGTGGCAATGGACTGATACCAAACTGCCTTCTGAGTAGGGCAGGTCTCCTAATCACAGAGCTTTTATTTGGCTCAGTGGAATGTGCAACGTTGAGGTCACAACTAGATTGCTCAAGACATTAGGGGCATCACGGAGCTTTCTCTGCTGTACCACTGCACAGTCTTCATATTGCCCTCTCCATATACACTGACCAAATATTTGAAAACTGGCACAGAATAATTTCTCTGCCCAGGTCCCACCATGCCAGAAGCACATATAAATATCTCTGAGATCCAGATAATTAAGACAGAGATGAGTAAGGGAGGATACAGGAAACATACCCACCTATATTCCCGAGCATTTTTATTTCATGCCTCATCCCTCCTCCCCTCTTCCTGGGGTAATTAATGTGCAGAAAATGGAGTGATCTCCATGGAGCATCAGAATCCCTTTTTTCATGACATGCAGAAGAGGCAGAAAGACCTAGTTTCTTTGGATCCAGAGTAGGTGAAGGGAGAAACAAGCTGCCAGGTAATCAGGCTGCTGATGAAACTTCCATAAAGATTATGAGTTTCCTATCTTGGTAGCTGCTTCCCTGTTCTTCCAACGGCACCATTGGTAAAAACCCAGCCAGGTGATAGGTTTAAATGAAAACCGAGGGGGTACATGGACAGGATGAATGGGCATGTGTAAGTTGCTTGACAGTGGGGAAATAGACTGGAAAGAGGATACTTTAGGTTGTGGTTCCTAAATTGGTCGTATTGCCAGGTGCCAACAGAGATGTATTATAATTACATTAAAAGACTAAACATACAGATTCCTGGGCATCACCCAAGAAAAGTCTGGTTTGATCGGTTAGAAGCTAGATGTGGAAATGCAGGTTTTTAAACAGCTACTTAGGTGGTTGTGGTACACAGGCATGTGGAAAAGCTGATTCTGAAAATGCTCTGAGAAGCAAAAGAGCCAGTTCTCAGAGTATGGTCTGAGGTCATCTATGAAGGGCTCAGAAGCTATTTTGGTAGTTCTCAAAGAAAAGCATTTAAACATTTTGTTTATTTATACTTCATAAATTTAAATTGTAGTTTATGATTTTTCCACAGTTTCACTATATTTTTCATAAAAATTGCTTTCTTAAAAATGGTGCATGAATCATAAAGTTTATCTGATCAGTTAATCTTGACTAAGATTCAGTTAACCTGGAGCACCTTGGTCTTCATAAACATGTATTTATTTTACATTACTATGGGTTTTTCTTTACAATTTATTGGTTTCTATTATGTAATTTTATATCTTCACCATAAAATAAATCAATCAAAGGCTTAAGAGTGAATTATTGAATGTAAAAGAGGTTGAAAACATTAGTAACAGAAATACTTCAACTCAAAATAACTTTTTAAATATAAAGAGAAGAGCTTCTTTTCAAATTATCTGTGAATGTGTTGATTTTGCGCAATTACATAGAACAAAATGTGCTAAAAAGAAATATAAGCATGAATCTCTGAAAACTGAATTTTATTGGATCATTAGTCTATTTGCCTCTTGGGTATTATTTTTGATGAAACTTTAAGTAGTGTCTGCAATAGAAGAAAAATATTTTATGTGTATATTCTTTCCTTCACTTCTAGCAATAAAATCTGTCCACAGGAGTGGGCATATTGTACAGGCTTGATAATCAAAATAATCTATCCTCAACCAGTGTTATTGATTTCAGCATGGAATTGTGATCCAAACTGGGACAACCAGAGTCTTCCTTATTTATTTATTTATTTATTGACACAGAGTCTCTCTCTGTCGCCCAGGCTGGAGTGCAGTGGCATGATCTTGGCTCACTGCAACCTCTGTCTCCCGGGTTAAGCAATTCTTCTGCCTCAGGCTCCCAAGTAGCTGGGATTACAGGCGTGTGCCACCACGCCCGGCTAATTTTTGTATTTTTAGTAGGCACGGAGTTTCACCATATTGGCCAGGCTGGTCTCGAACTCCTGACCTCATGATCCACCTGCCTCGGCCTCCCAAAGTGCTGGGATTATAGGTGTGAGCCACTGCGTCCAGCCTTCCCTATTATTTTTATCTATATACAGGTGCTAGGAAAGTGTTCTATTACTGTGAGGTCACAAATCACAAGGATCATACAACCTTTCAGCTGCCACATGTAAAGAACCTGCCTGAAAATGAAGCCAACAGAAAACTGCAGAGCCGAGAGGTGGCATGGGAGATACAGAGGCCTGGCCATATCCTTCAAATATCTGGATACAACATCCCTCAATTATTTTGCACTTTTTCTGCCTTCTCAGTTTTGAGTTAATTCAGTGCTTCCCACTCCTCCTTAGGCTACTTTGAGGTAGATTTTTATCACCTGTATAAAAGTCCTAGCCTATAGAGGACTAAAGCCATCAAAGACTTTTATATAATTGTCAGGCAAAGCACACTCACCTCTCTGCTAAGGCAATTTACTTTTCTCCAGAACAAGAATGAACAAGAACAAGATATTGGTTTCCAGTATCAACTTGATGAGTTTTGTCAATAAAGTAAAAAGAAAAAAGACTAGAATTACCAAGTTATCATTTGTCATTGTACTCCTGATAGTGAAAAAAGGTACAACACAAAGCACTGGCAAGAAGCTTATAAAGCCAACCACAAGCTAATGATACATATAGTTGATGCTAAATCAGAAGTAAGTCAGCAAAATTCCTATATCAAATGATACTGTTATACAAACATACTGTCAATAGCACATAATGTGAATGAAAAAGTATGTACTAGAACACATTTTGCTTTATAGTAGATGGAAATGATTTATATGCGGAGCAAGAATACATTCCTGGCATCTGTGCAGCATGTATAAGAGCCTGAAGCACTTGATGACTTTTTGCATCTGGTTGTCATTGAAAACTCATGCTGTACAGGAAGAATTTTTACACAAATTATTTTGCGATCCATGGTGTAGACTGGAAAAGAAGATTGGGATTACTCCTATGAGAGCAGCAGCTATGTGTGCAGCAAGACTTGTACTTGAATGCCAACTCACCTGCTCCTTTATTAACAGAGAACTGTTTTTAATCACATGCCTCCTAACGTTGATTCAGTATCGAAGAAAATAGAGAATTCAAGTCATTAATGGATACTGAACAACTGAGACAACAGTCGACCCTTGAACAACAGGGGTTTGAACTGCACTGGTCCACCTATATCTGACTTTTTTTCAATCAAATGTGGATCAAATATTGAAATAAATATTTGCAGGATGTTAAACCCATGTATACAGAGGGCCAACTTTTCATATACTCAGGTTCGGGGCTTGAGCATGAGTGAATTTTCATCTACATAGGTGTCCTGCAACCAATTCCCCACATACATAGAGGGACAATTGTATTTCATTTTAGCAAGTTGGACAAAGAAATGACATACTCTTGATTTCCACATTTAAGTTTATTTGCCATGAAAGGGAAAGAACATACATGAGGGTTTTTAAAAGTTACTACTGTGGTAACAAAACAACATTATCCTCTTAACCATTTTTCCTCTTAACCATTTAAATTTATCCTCTTAACCATTTTTTCAGTGTACAGTACGGTAGTGTTAAGTATATTCACATGGTTGCAACAGATCTCTAGAACATTTTTACCCGGAAACACTAAAACTCTATACCACTAAATACTAACTCCCTCTCCTACCAGCCCTTGATAACCACCTTTCTACTGTCTGTGTCTATGATTTTGACTGCTATGAATACATCATAGGAGTGGAATCCTATAGTATTTATCCTTTTGTCACTGGCTTCTTCCACTTCGCATAATATCCTCAAGGTTCATCCATGTGTGTATGTGACATGATTTCCTTCCTTTACTAAGGTTGCATGGTTTTTCACTGTATGTATATGCCACATTTTCATTATCTATTCACCTGTTGATGGACATTTGAGGTGCTTCACCTCTTGGCTATTGGAAATAGTCTTGTGATGAACATGGGTGTGCAAGTATCTCCTTGAATTATTTGGAAATAATTCACTTTGCTTTGTGAATATCTAGCCACAGTGGGATTGTTGGATTGTATGGCAATTCTACTTTTAATTTGTGAGGAACCTCCGTACTGTTTTTCGGTATGTATGGTTGCACTATTTTACATTCCCACTCACAGTGCACAAAGGTTCCAACTTCTTCACATCCTCACAAACACTTGCTGTTTTGTGTTCTGTTGATAGCGGCCATCCTGATGGATGTGAGGTGATACCTCATTGTAATTTTGATTTGCAGTTCCCTAATGATTAGTGATATTGAACATCTTTTTATGTGTTTATTGGCCACTTGTATATCTTTTGTGAAGAAATATCTATTCAACTTCTTTGCCAATTTTTAAATCTATTTGTTTTTTTACATATTCTGGATATTAATACCTTATCAGATATAATATTTGCAATTATTTCTTCCCATACTGTTGGTTGCCTTTTCATTCTGTTGATTGTTTTCTATGGCTATGCAGAAGTTTTTAAGTTTGATGTAGTCCCATTTGTTTGTTTGTTTTTTTATTTTGTTGCCTTGCATTTGGTGTCATAGCCAAGAAATTACTGTCCTAAATCCTTTCCCTTCTATTTTCTTCTAGAAGTTTAATAGTTTTGGATCTTACATTTAGGACTTCACTTGATCTTAGCCAAAAGGCCGAGAAGTGATACATTTAGGTCTTTAATCCATTTTGAGTTAATTTTTGTATATGCTATAAAGTAAGAGTCCAGCTTCATTCTTTTGCATGTCAATATTCAGTTTTCCCAATACTATTTGTTAAAGGGACTGTTCTTTTTTTCCCTACTGTGTAGTTGTGGCACACTTCCTGAAAATCATGTAGCCAGATATGCCAGGGTTTATTTCTGGGCTTTTTGTTCTGTTCCATTGGTCTACATAGCTATCTTTATATCAGTACCACACCATCTTAATTATTGTTGCTTTGAAGTATGTTTTAAAATCAAGGAGTGTGAGGCCTACAACTTTGTTCTTCTCTTTCAATATTATTTAGGCTACTCAACATCCCTTGAGATTCTACATGAATTTTATGATTTTCTAATTCTACAAAAAATGCCACTGGGTTTTGACAGAGATTGCACTGGAGCTGTAGATTGCTTTGGATAGTATGATATTTAAACAAGATTAGGTCTTTCAATCCACAAGCATGGGATATCTTTCCATTTATTTGTATTCTATTTCTTTCAGCAATGTTTTATACTTTTTGGTCTTTCATCTCCTTAATTAAGTATATTGCTAGCTATTTTATCCTTTTTGGTGCTGTAAGAAATGGGATTGTTTTCTTAATTTTCTTTTTGAATTGGTCATTGGTATAGAAATGCAACTGATTTTTGAGTGTTGGTTTTGTGTGCTGAAACTTTGCTGAATCCATTTCCTAGTTCTAATAGTTTCTGTGCAGAATCTTTAAGATTTTCTAAATATAAGATCATGTCATCTGTGAACAGAGAGAATTTACTTCTGCTTTTCCAATTGTGTGTCTTTTCTTTTTTTTGTCATATGCTATATATAACAAAATTTTTTTGTTTTGTTTTGTCTTAATTGCTCTGGCTGGAAATTTCAGTACTATGTTGAATAGTAGTGGTAAGGATGGGCATCTTTGCTTTGTTCCTGATCATAGAGGAAAAACAGTAGTTCCTAGTTGCATATGGTATTAACTGTGGGCTTTTCGTGTATGGCTTTTATCGTGTTGAGATAGTTTCCCTCTATTCATAGTTTATTGATTGTTTTTATCATGAAAGGATGTTAAATTTTGTCAAATGCTTTTTCTGCATCAATTGAGATGATCATGTAGTTTTTGTTCCTTATTTTGTTAATGTGGCACATTACATTGACTGATTTTCATATGTTGAGCCATCCTTGTATTCCAGGTATAATTGCCATTTGGTCATGGTATATGATGCTTTTAATGAGCTATTGAATTTGGTTTACTAGTATTCCTTCTTTTTAGGGTTTTTGCATCTATGCTTATCAGGGATATCAGCCTGTAGTTTTCTTTTCTTGTCTTTGTCTTGGTGTCAGGGTAATACTTGCCTCATAGAATGAGTTTGGGGCATTCCTTCCTCTTATTCTTTGGGAGAGTTTGAGGATTGGTGTTAATTCTTCTTTAAATGTTTAGTAGAATTCTCCACTGAAGCCATCTGGGCCTAGGCTTTTTATTGTTGTCGTTATTACTGAAAGGTTTTTGATTACTGTTTCAATGTCCTCTCAGTTATAGGTCTGTTCAAATTTCTTATTTCTTTATGATTCAGTCTTCGTAGGTTGTATGTTTCTATGAATTTATCAGTTTCTTCTAGGTTATACAATTTGTTAGCGTACAATTGTTCATAGTAGTCTCTCAAAATCATTTTTATTTCTGTGACATCCATTTTAATGTCTCATTGCCCATTTATAATTTTAGCTATTTGAGTCTTCTCTATTTTTCTTAGTCTAGCTATGAATTTGTTAAATTTTTGATCTTTTTGAAAAACCAACTCTTAGTTTTTTTGATCTTTTCTATGGTTTATGTTTACTTTATTTCCTTTATCTCTGTTCTAATCTTTATTATTCCCTTCCTTCTGCTGACTTTGGACTTGGTTTGTTCTTCTTTTTCTAGTTCCTTGAAGGGCAGAGTTAGGCTGTTGATTTGCAAACATTTTTCTTTTTTCATGTAAGCATTTATTGCTATGAACTTCCCTGTTATTGCCACTTTTACTGCATCCCATAAGTTTTAGTGTGTTGTATTTTTGTTTTCACTTGTCTCCAGGTATTTCCTAAATCCCTCGTGTGTTCTTCTTTGACCCATAGGCTGTTTAATAGTGCAATGTTTAATTTCTAAATATTTATGGATTTTCCTATTTTCTTTCGGCTATCGATTTCTTTTTTTTTTTCTTTTTTGTTTTTTGAGACAGAGTCTCGCTCTGTCACCCAGGCTGGAATGAAATGGCATGATCTTGGCTCACTGCAACCTCCGCCTCCCGGGTTCAAGCGATTCTCCTGCCTCAGCCTCCCGAGTAGCTGGGACTACAGACATGTGCCCCCATGCCCAGCTATTTTGTATGATTAGTAGAGACAGGGTTTCACCATGTTGGCCAAGCTGGTCTCAAACTCCTGACCTCATGATCCGCCCGCCTTGGCTCCCAAAGTGCTGGAATTATAGGCACTAGCCACCACACCCAGCATCTGATATTGATTTCTAGTTTTGTTTTATTCCATTGTGCATAAATGGGTTTTTGAAAGAGGTTTGATAATAGCAATAGAGAACATTTCTATGATTTCAAATGGCTTGCTCAAGTCTTGTATATTAGCAATATAGTCATTATCTGCAATAACCTGAAGCTATCACCTTAAGCCAAAACATTATGAAATATTTAGATACCAGAATTTCTTTAAAAAATAAACAAGAAGTAAATGGCTTAAAAGTCAGAGACTTGACACTTACCAACATTTGGTGATTTTTTTTGTTTTTTACTCACCACGAAAAATGATAACGCATTATGGAATTTGCTTTTAAAAATGCAACCAATTACAATGACAAAACATTAAAAAATACTTTCTAGAGAAGAATGCAAGCACATGTTGTGCTATCTGTATAGTACCACTAGCTCCATGTGGCTATTGAACACTTGAAATGTGAATAGTGCAACTGAGGAACTAATTTTTTACTTAATTTAATTTAAATTTAAATAGCCCTATGCAACTAATGGCTACTGTGTTGTACAGTGCAATTCTAGAACAAGAGAAATAATAGACCCTCTTTTATAGGGGCTAATGGATCACATTTAAATTAAAACATTCAATTTGTTGAGGTGAGAGATGAGGGAGAAGGCACATTGTAGAGTGAGTTGTAGAGTGATATAGACAAACTTCAGTGCATGTGAAGAGAAGGTAAGAAAACTAGAAACTATCATGTCAGAACCAGGTTGAAGGAATTTGAGATGGTCTTCATGGGAAAACGATAACTCATTTAAGCAATTAACATTGCAATGGTTGGAAGAATAATTAAATTTACTTTCAAAGTTTCCTAAAGGAGGAATTAGAACCAATAAGTAGCTTGATACAAGGAAGAAATTTCTAACGTGAGTTCCCTATTTAGAGAAGTCTGGTGCTAAAGTGTATGACCCAGACTTATGACCTAGGCTTTTCTTTTCTTTTCTTTTCTTTTCTTTTTTTTTTTGAGATGGAGTCTCGCTCTGTCACCCAGGCTGGAGTGTGGTGGTGCAATCTTGGCTCACTGCAACCTCCACCTCCTGACGACCCAAACTTTGTACTGATGTTACAGCATTATAACTTCACTTCCTCTAACTAAGAAACACAGTCCTAAGAGGGGAAGTATCCTTAATAACAATATTCCTACTCTTGAGACCTAGAGTATATTAATAGAAAGGGTGTATATCTTTCTAATGAGAGGAAGATTTAGAGACAAAATTTGTCATTTGAGGCCCTCTGGAGGGGATCCCAAATCATATTTTAGGATATCCAAGAATCAAGGTTTTGGGGTCTGTACGTTAACATAATACTAAGTTGTTTTCTCTCAATGAGCCTGTGGGTTTTGAAGTGTGATCCATGATTCTTACTGGAATCTAGAGAACAACTGGTTACTAAGTTCCAAATAATTTTCCTAAGCAAGAAGACTGCTATTATGATCCCACTAAGTTTTCCTGTATACATCACATTTTCTCTAAACTTGAATCATTTAATCTATGCATTTCTGGGCTGCACATGTCTTCAAATTATGGGTGATGATGATTTGCTATTCAATCATCATGCTCAGCACTGGAGACATGCCTTTAAATTTGGTTTTCTCTTCCTAGAAGCACTATTTACAGTAGCCAAAAGGGGAAACAACCCAAATGTCGATCAACAAATGAATGGATAAACAAAATGTAGTACATACTTACAACGGAATATTATTCAGTCTTAAAAATGAAGGAAAATTCTGACAAATGCTACAATATGGATGAACCTTAAAGACATATGCTAAGTGAAATACGCCAGACAGAAAAGGACAAATGCTGCATGTTCCCACTTATATGAGCTACCTAAAATAGTCAAATTCAGAAGGACAGAAAATACAATGGCGGTTGCCATGGGCCAAGGACAGGAGCGAATGGGGAGTTATTGTTTAATAGGTACCAAGTTTCTTTTTGGAATGTTAAAAATGTGCCAGAGATGGATCATGATGAGGGTTTCACAACATTGTAAATTACTTAATATCACTGAATTGTACGCTTAAAAATGGTTTATAGCCAGGTGTGGCGCTGCACACTGGTGATCCCAGCTACGTGGGAGGCTGAGTCAGGAGAATCGCTTGAACCCGGGAGGCAGAGGTTGCAATGAGCTGAGATCATGCCACTGCACTCCAGTCTTGGTGACAGAGTGAGACTGTCTCGAAAAATAAAATAAAATAATGCCGGGCATGGTGGTTCATGCCTGTAATCCCAGCACTTTGGGAGGCCGAGGTGGGCAGATCACCTAAGGTCAGGAGTTCGAGACCAGCCTGGCCAACCAGATAGTGAAACCCCATCTCTACTAAAAAATACAAAAATCAGCTTGGCATGGTGGTGGGCACCTGTAATCCCAGCTACTTGGGAGGCTGAGGCAGGAGAATCACTTGAACCTTGGAGGTGGAGGTTGCAGTAACCCAAGATCACATCACTGCACTCCAGTCTGGGCAACAGGAGCAAAACTCTATCTCAAAAATAAAATAAAATAATAAAATGGCTTAAATGGTAAATGTTATGTTACATATATTTAACTTTAATAGAACTTTTTCAAATTTAGTTTCCTCAAAACTTGGATTGCATTAAACTATCTTCGCTGTATATGTGAGATCATCTATAGAAAGTGGCTAGTGCTATTTTTGTATTTTTCCTCTAACAAATGTAGTTTAAGAACATGCCAATCTGATTTTGAATCACATAATCCGGTGGATGGGCATTGTTGGTGCAATATGCAATCGTCATGTCCCAGGCATCAATAATACCCACATTAAGATCCACAAAAATATCTCTTATGATAAGATTCTGAATATAGCCATGAAAGTCACTGAACATCTCTGCATTTTGTTCTATCTCTCTGGTGTTTTCAGTTTTAAGTATCACCTTGGTCTCCGGGCTTCGCAAGAATAGACGTTCAATGGCCTTTTGAATATTGATGGCCCTACGGATGAAAATGTTGATGGGAAAGGGTCTGAAGTGTTGGCCGAGGGTAATGACAATGGCTGTGTTTTTGTCTCCTGCTACCTGGTCAATTTCCCGTGGGATATAGTTTTCATCTTTCACTGAGAATAATTTTTTGGTAACAAATGGATGACCATGTTTTTTCCACTGAATCAAAATATGTCTTTCAACATCCAGAAGAACATGTGTTTTAAAGATCCCAGCTCCATGATGATCAAAATATTTTAGGGCTGATGAAAGACAAATCAATAAATATTTTAACAAAAGGAAAATGATATAACTTTAAACTGCACACAACATGTATAAAATTCTAACCAAGATCACTTCTAACTAAGCACTATTGCCTATGTAAGGTGGATAATTTTACCAGGTGCATTACAATCTTAACAAAATATTGAACTTGTTATGAGAATACATGAAGAGGAAGAAAAATATTAACATTTGTGAATGAAAAGATAAAATTTAACTTTTTATTAAAAGCCCAAAGCCAAAAGTTAGGCAAATTTAAAATAAAATAAAATAAAATAAAATAAAATAAATATTAGAAAAGAAAAGCAAATAATTCTAATTATTATTTCAAAACCCTCAAAAGTCAAATAGAATTTCAAAATATAAATTAAATACATACTTTTCACAGCTTTTTGTAAGTAGTAAATCCACTGATGCAGTGTTGAATCTCCCATGAGATAAATAAGTTTTCTTTCCAAGCAGTCATTTATATTTTTTGTTTCATTGAACTTGATCTGTTTACAAAATGCTGTAATCCACATTTTTTTCAAAGTATAACCACTGGGGAAAGGAGTCTTCATTCCAATCTGGCAGTTCTTTTTTATGTTCTCGCTCTCTGGCAATACAAATTTCCAGATTAAGTAATTTTTATTACCACAAATTATTTTGGAAAAATGTTTCTCATTTTTGCCTTCCTTTTCCTCTTTTTCCTCCCCCTTTCTCTTCAGCTCTATTTTGCCTTCCTCTCTTCCACAAATATTTATTTAATAAGATCATGTTAAAAGGGTGAATTAAATAGCTTTTCTTGAATAGTTTTTCTTGGAGTGGGGATCTGTTGACTCTTGTGCATTTGCAATGTGTCCCTGGGCTCCACCTTGTCCCCAGAGCCACGCTGCTGTGGAACAGCCAGCCAGAGTCAGGAGGAAATGTGTGGCCGTGAAATAGCAGGGCACAGTGGCCCTGCCAAATATTACACCAATGACATTGGCCTCGCTGAATTGTAAATCTCATCTTCCTCAAACTACTAATCCAGGAAAAGAAGCTTGAATGTGTTTATGAAATGAGTGTGTCACATTGTTTATTTTGTGTGTCCCAGAATCATCTTCTCTGGCTAATACTTTTTTTAAAATCCTTAAATCTTAATTGTCATGTCTAGAACTGAATGTAATATTCTCAGTGTGATCTGACACAGAAAAAAGTAGGATCATGACCTCCCTGTTCTGAACACTCCTCTATTAAAATAGCCTAAACTGTATTTACTGACTCCTATTGAGTTTTCCCCCAGGTAAGTTTCTGAGGCCACTTCTATATTCACCACTTAAAATGCACATCTTCTTTGTCATCTACCTGCATTGTTGGGATATGGGGTACACATTGAGGAACTTACATTTGTTCGTATTGAATAACATCAGATTTGTAAGTGGCTCCAAAAATTACAGTCTGGTACTATCTTCCAAGAAACTGCCTGACTTTACTAGAAATTACTGTCCAGGCAAGAGGGAAATAAAAGAGGTGTTACAAACATTCAAATTGCCTCAAGAATCTAAGAACTTTCTTCAGTGTAAAAGTTGGGTGTGAATGATAGTTGCCCTAGCAGAGAAGGGATCTGTCTTCTTCATAGATTGTGAACTTTACATCTGGGTTCATGATTTATTTGTGTTTATGTTCTCCACAGGGTTTAGCAAATTTCTTTGTACAGTAGGACCTCAGTAAACACTTGCTAAATGCATGAAAAAGGGGTGATGAGTAATGGTACACCCCGTTGATTGTTATAATGGAAGTCCTTTGCTTTACTTTAATTTTGAAATTCACTTCATTTCCCGTGTAGCAGAATCATCACTTCTATGAGTGAAATGGTTTTGTGTTGACCACTAAAGTTCATATGATTAAACTGAGAAAAAATTCACAGAAATTCTAGTTCATAGAACTTCAAGTAAGATGGCTTGGCTAAATGAGAAATTAGAAACCACCAAAGAAATGTCCTAACTCTGAATCTGTGCAGCTCATCTGAGACATTTTTCACATAGCACCAGCACCTGATCATTGGCTCTGGAGGAATAAATCTAAATTTAAATACAAATAGCCTGTACATTTTGAGGCAGTGCCACTGAAGTTAATGGTTTCCCTAGCCTTTTATATCTGACTTGGGATGAAAATTGGTTTAAATCGATATGAAAATAATTTCCAAGAATAAAATCCCTTCTCTAAAACCCAAGGTGGTTGATGTAATTTGTCCCAGGAAATGAGAGATCAAATCGTTAATGTGGAATAAATATCTCTAAGTAAGCATGTCCTTTCCGTGGATAAATTGTGATCATGGCAGACAACAACACTCCAGACTTACTGTTGCATGGTATGACCTCAATGGGGGTAAAGTTCTTCATCATTTCAACTCCTATGTTGGACCTGCAAGAAATGGGAAAATAAATTAGCTTAATATCTGCCCAGATAATAAAGTAGGAATCACTGGTTTAGATGGATTAAACCTCTCTTCTCCAAATGCCTTTCCCCCCTTATTTTGATATATTTAAGATATCCTGGGGAAGTTAATGGGTCAGGATTCTGGAAAGCTGTTCCTCTCCTAATGGCAGGGAATCTAGAGATCCAGAGAAAGTCATTCACCCTCCATACGCAATCCATCAAATCTATCTAACATCTATCTATCTATCTGTCTGTCTGTCTATCTATCTATCTATCATCTATCTATCTATCTATCTATCTATCTATCTATCTATCTATCTATGCTTATTTTAATTTTACCTTCTAAATGGCTCTCTACCACAAACTACCCTCTCCACATTTCCACCTGTAGTAATTCAGGCCCTCATCAACCCTTTCCAAGGCTAGTGTTTCTCAAACTTGAGCGTGCATCAGAATTACCTGCAGTACTTTATTACAACTCCAATTGCTGAGCCTCACACCCAGAATTTCTGATTCAACAGTTATGGGGTAAATTCTCAAGAATTTGGATTTCTATAATAACAAGCTCTTGGGCTAACCCAAAGCCAATGGTCTACGGACATTACTTTGAGAACCCTGTCCTAAGTTATTATAATACTATCTTTCTGCCCTTTTGGTTTATCCCACCTAAATACAAACCCTATGCTACCTGTTTTATTCCCCTATGTAAAACTTTCCCATGACTTTCTGTCCTCAACCTACAGAAAAAGCTCCCTAACTGGTATAAAAATCTCCTATGAGTGTCTACATTGCCAGCTTCATCTTCATCTACTCTTCACCTTCTTGAGTTCCCAGGAGTCTATTTTTCATAGTCTGTTATCTCCCTCAGATAGGAATCAAGTCAATATTATTCAGTATAATATTTCGAGTGCCAGCACAGTGAGCTTCGTCTCAAGGTATCAGTCCCAATGACTATGGTGACTATGTCCAGCCAAATTGAATTCACTCTATCGGAATGAAATCCATCTGGGGGAAGGTAGGCCCTTTCAGAGCCAGAGCCACAGAAACCTTCAAAAGGGATAGAGAAAGCCCTTTCTAAGATTGAGAAGAATTGCCTGAATCTCAGGAAATGAGTTTTTGGGTCAAGTGAGGATAATATCCCCTTCATCAAGAAGGCCAGAGGACTGAAGAGAGGTCAGGGTGGCTGGGCGTGATGGCTGCATGGAGTGGTGGAGTCATGGGAGACAGCACTATGGCCCATTGACTTTAGAATAAGATCGACTGGGAATCCCGTTCTGACTCTGCAATTCAACTGGATATGTGACTTTGGCCAACCTATTTAATATGCCTAAATTTTCTCATCTTCAAAATGAGCATAATAATAGTCACTCCAGAGTATTTTACTGAGGATAAATGGTATAATACAAGGGAGGCATCTAACATAAATGTTGGCATATAGTAGGTGCTCAACAAATCATTGCAATTATTATTACTGAGGATCCCATCAGACCTATTTTTGGCACAAGAGTAAGATTTGTCTTTAAGAAATTTAATCTGACCAAACCTCTATTCTCCCATACCTTTCTCAGGTAAGGCTGAGGATAACAAAAGAGATTGAGACCCGGCTACCTTGTAAATTTGGTTACCAAAGAAAAATTTGATGCTACATTAAAATTAGGATTAAAACCATGTATTAATGTTATAAAGGAATTCATTTTAATGTCTCCTGTTTTTGTAATTGTGTATGTGCATTAAATTTTAAAAAGGGGTCTATAATTAATTAGACCATAATAGAAACTAACAGAATAGTGAACAACTGTGTTACCTATGTGATGTCTTCTCCTATGGTAACTCCTCATTTATGTTTTTATCACGATTATCCACAAAACTCTTAAAAAGAAGAAGACTTTTTTAATTTGAAGAAATAAATATCCTAGGAAGTAACATTTCTGATTCTTCAGCCAAGGTTGAGGGAGAGAACCCAGGTGGGAAAATATATTTACAGTCATCCCTCAGTATATGTGGGAGATTGGTTCCAGGACCCCCACCACATCTACAAAAATCAGCATATGCTTAAGTCCTGCATTCAGCCCCACGGAACCCAAGTATGTGAAAAGTCAGCTCTCCATATATTAGGTTTTGCATCCTGTGAATATTATATTTTTGATCCACATTTGATTGAAAATGCTTTGAATATAAGTGGATTTGTGCAGTTCAAATCTGGGTTGTTCAAGGGTTAACGGTACTATGTTACAAATGAAACAGAAACTGGCTTAGTCCCTGTATTCGTGAGAAGGAAAGATGTCAAAGAATTGGGCTTGGGTCTAGGAAGGGACCCTAGAGCTTAGCAATAGAATGGTCCATGAGACTTCTTGGATGTGTAATCAGCTGTTCCTTGCACATGCACTACATCACCTGTAGGGAGACTGAAATCTCTATTTCCATGCAGTAGGAGAAAAAAACTTAATAGCTTGAATAGAGCAGGGGATCTGGGAAGGACTTATGTCTATTTGGAAATAAAGCAGCTTACTATCATGATTACTGTCATGAGCACAGCCCCCTTGAGAAGCCTGATTAGGACCCAAAGTATGTGCCAGTCTGCCAGACTAGGGACTTTGGATTTCCTGAGACACAGCCAGCAACTGTGCAAGGATGGTACCTTCAACCCAGGCTTCAATGAGGACCACCTCAAGAGGGATCCAGCTGTAGCCAACAGGGAATATAGAATCAGGCACATATAAAACATATAGAGTATAGAATCTTAAGTCCACCCTTAGACTTAAGACATAATTCTGAGACCTTCAAGACAGGAAGACCTTTATGTCTCCATGATTATTTTTCCTTTGCTTCATAAAAATTTATTTTTAAAATCCCAGCTTCTTTTAGCTGAGCCATAGGGGATAAAGAGATTTTTCCATACCTTGATCAGGAAAATGTAAAGAAGTGAAGGTGACGTAGGGGTGAAAGGGAGAGGCTGTAGTGATGTAGGGTCAGTTGTGCCCAGCTCTCTGTGTCATCATAATGCTTAAATTGGATTTGAACTTGAATTTCCAGGATATTGTGCTATCCTGGAAATTTGCCCTCTGAAGACATATCAGAAAACTAAAGCCTTTCTATGGCAGCAGCTCCCAAACTGGGGAACCAAAGTCTCTTTAAATGATCCATAAAATAAGTGGTCTGTGGCCAAATAAATTTGGGAAATGCTGTATGCTCTATTCTTGCTTGAAGGGATACATATTAAAGTTTCTGAGAAGTCCTGCTGCAAAGAAACCAACTTAACTTTAATTATTTCTCCAGATTGTATTATTTTACTTATTTTTTTTTATTCAACAAATAGTTATTCAGAACTTTCTCAGTGTCAGGCATTGTGCTGGGCCTGTGAGACAAAATACTGGCCCTGAATGACTTCCTGACAGACATAGATGACTTCTAAGGCCCTGCCTCCCTATCTCATCTTCTCTCTCCCTCACTTCCCGCGTTCCAGCCTTTCTGCACTCCACCTCCACCATGGTTCCTAGAACATTCCAACATGCTCTTGCCTCAGGTCCTATTCCTTCTCTTGAGAATGCTGTTTCCCGAAAATTCACATGACTTACTCCCTCACTTAACTCAGGTTGCTGCTCAAGACAAGCCTTACCTGACACCGTTTTAAAATAGCATCAACCATCACGTTTGAAACTGTTACTCTTATGACCTTCATGTTAAAGAGTTTTAATATTAAAAGAGTTTAAATTTCACCCTTAGAGCCGTGGGGTCATCTTAAAGCTTTTACGGAGGAAATAGTAAAAGACAAATCTGTTTATTTACTTTTTGTCCTTCTATCCCACTAGAATGTTAATTCCTAACACCTAGTGCTGTGTCTGGAATACAGAAGGTGCTGACTACTTATAAATTGAAAGAATGGGCTGGGCGTGATGGCTCATGCCTATAATTCCAGCATTTTGGGAGGCTGAAGTGGGTGGATCACCTGAGCTGGGGAGTTCAAGACCAGCCTGGCCCACATGGTAAAACCCTGTCTCTACTAAAGATACAAAAATTAGCCAGGTGTGGTGGCAGGTGCCTGTGGTCCCAGCTACTCAGGAGGCTGAGGCAGCAGAATTGCTTGTACCCAGGAGGCGGAGGTTGCAGTGAGCCGAGATCGCACCACTGCACTCCAGCCTGGGTGACAGAGCGAGACTCGGTCTCAAAAAAAAAAAAAAATGAATGAATGGTGAAAAGTAGTTAACACTTAATGCTCGCAGAGCTTACAACTTAACAGAGGATATTAAAAATATACTGGAAAATTAATAATGTAATAAGAATTATGTTGCGGAAGAACAAAATGCTAAGGAAAAATATAGGACTAGAACTTCACTCAGGGAGATGGAAAGTTTCCTAGAGGAAATGATGTGTAAACCAAAGCTTGTGAAATGCCAGAGGTGAGAGGACATGGTCCATTTGTTAAATAAAAGGAGTTCCATTGACGGACAGAGGGCAAGGCAGCATAAAGGTGAGACAAGAGGCTGCCAAGGGAGGAAAGTCCTTGTAAAAATATTAAAGAGTTTAAATTTCACCTTTAGAGCCGTGGGGTCATCTTAAAGCTTTTAAGGAGGAAATAGTAAAAGACATAACTGCATTTCAAAAACATTAGTCTAGGTGCAGTGTGGAGAATAGATTGGAAGAAACAGGACTGAGGGCAGAGAAATCAGCTCTGGGGATTGTTGCAAGGATCTGAGGTATGATGGCAGGTTATACAAGGATAGAGGCAATGGTGGTAGACAGAAATGGCTGGGTTCAGGAGATAGTTGGGAGGGATAATGTATAGAGCTTGATGATTCACTGGATGTAAGGGGTAAAGCTCGACTGAACAATGATATCATTCACCACTTTTTTATTGTACAGCATCTATTAATACTCTATAGGATTAGTATTCCCTGGAACACATTATAGAAAATACTGGTCTATAAAAAATTACTGAACCTGGAAGTATTGCAAACCATGGAGAACTATAGGTCTATATTAAGTGCTTCACTGGTTATACTCCTGTCAGCAAATAGTTCTAGGGGTGACTTGTATGGATCCCTGTGAACACACTCCAAGCTGAACTGACTCTGAGGACCTAATTATAATTTAGTCAACATAATTGACATGATACAAAAGTTTGATTAGGCAAAACTACTAGGCAGAGTTTGGTCGGATACCTCTTTTTATCTGCTATTGTATTTAAAAGCCTCTTTACCTGTGGAAAAGCCTCCATTCTTCCTTGCTAAGATAGGAAATATTTCTTGTCCTAGTGGTCATGTGGGTCAAGGCCTCACAGGGCATATGTTGAGGCCTCACACAGTAGAAGGCTTCTTGGTCTCTGTCATCCATGTACTGGCACAGTTCAGCATTTGTGTTTAGGGTCAGGCCACATTCAGTGAAGACATTGGAGCTTCTGTTGGCAAACAGGCCAGTGAAGATGATCCTATCACATCCTTGGTTCCTTGCCCTCCAGAGAGCTGATACCCCTTCACTGGGGTGGATGAGCAGCAGAGACAGGGAAACCTGGCCCTCCCAGAACAGAGTGAAGCTGACCAGGTAGGTGCCGTTGTTGAAGTCAGTCACCTTTCCTGAAGCACCTGCCATTAGTGCTGTGGAGTACATCCTGGCCCTCAGGAAATCCCCACCATATTGCTTCCTGTGTCCCAAGTGGTCCCTCACCTCCAGAAGGATGTCCAGCTGATCCCCCCTGCAGTACGTATCTTGAGGGTTGAGGATGGTGGCTGTGCTGTGTGTGGCACTGGTGGTGGTATTCACATGGGTGAAAGGTCTGGGTGGGATCTGCTGGTCTAGTTTCTCCATAATGTCCTTTATTCTAAGTTCAGTCTCTTTTGGTGAAACTGCTGGACACAGTGGTGTTTCAGAGTGTGAATATTTTTTGAAGATGTTCCCTTGGTTCAGGATAATATGGTTTTCCAAGTTGAACGAGAACTGAAATATTGAAAGGGAAAAGAAAATATCATCAGCAAACAATAGGGCTTGCTTTTCAATATAAATTATTATGGCTTATTTTACATCTTTCAGTGTGATAAATTAAATATCAAAAATCGATACTAACTGGTTTTCAGTTATGGAATCTTCAGAAATGGTTTCCATGTAGTATGACTTCCTCTGCTGCCAGCAGATGGTTTTCTTTAGGAGTCACTGACTTAAAAATTAACTAGATACAATCATGTTATCAATACATACTATTTCATGATTCAATTTTAGAGTTTTTCCTTTTGCTATCCCCTCACTTGACTTTTCTTTTTAAAAACCATATTATCATTTTCTATATCAACAATGCAAACAACAGAGCACAATGTGGTACATGTTTCATGTGCACTGGGAAAGAATGTATATTCCACTGCTGTTGGAGGAAGTGTTTTATGAATGTCAATCAGATTTAGTTGAAGGGTTGTGTTCTCTACTTCTTCTACATTTTTGCTGACTCTATTAGTTTCATGGGGCTGACATCACAAAGCATCACAAATTTAGTGACTTAAAAGAACATAAATTTATTCACTCATAGTTCTGGAGGCCAGAAGTCGGAGATCAAGGTGTCAACAGGGTTGGTTCCTTATAGACGCTTTGCGAAAGAATATATTCCATACATGTCTCCTAACTCCTGGTGGTTTCCAGTAATCCTTGGTGTTCCTTGGCTTGTAGACAGCTTATTTCAATCTCTGCCTCCATTTTTATGTAATCCTCCCCTCTGTGTGTGTTTTCCCCTTTTCTTCTCGTAAAAGGACAGTTGTGACTGGATTTAGGATCCCCCTTAATCCAGGATGATCTCATCTTGAGCCCTTTCACTTATTTACATCATCAAAGAGTGTTTTTCTAAATATAGTGGCACGTCCTTATTCATGATTTTAGTTACCCATGGTCAACCATGGTCCAAAAATAGGTGAGTATAGTACAATAAGATATTTTGAGAGAGAGAAAGACAGAGAGAGAAGCCATATTTATATAACTTTTATTACAGTATGTTGTTATAATTGTTCTATTTTAATATTAGTTATTTTTGTCAATGTCTTACTGTGCCTAATTTATAAATTAAACTTTATCATAGATATTTATGTACAAGAAAAAAACAGCATTTACACTGTATAGCGTTTGGTACTATCTGCGGTTTCAGGCATCCACTGGGGTCTTGGAATATATATTTAGTAGATTTAAGGACTACTGTAGGTCATATTCAGGGGTTTCAGGTAGACACATTTTTAGGGGGCCGTCATTCAACCTGCTAAACTGACTTTCTCTCTACATATTTTATCAATTACTAAGAACAATGTTAATGTTGTTGACTATGATTCTGAATTTTTCCTTTTCTTTTTATTGATATATGCTTTTCTTCAAATATTTTGTAGCTCTGCTATTAGATGTACACACATGTATTGGTTGTTATGTATTTTGGATGAACTGTCACTTTTACCATTACATAATGATCTTATTTATTCTTGGTAATTTTCCTGGTTCTGAAATCTACTTTGTCTGATATTAATAAATTCATACAAGCATTATTTTGGTTAGGATTTGCATGGTATATCTATTTTTGTCATTTTACTTTTAGCCTACCTATATCTTTGTATTTAAAATGGATGCTAGCTTATGGTTGGTTTCTTTTCTTTTCTTTCTTTTTTTTTTTTTTTTTTTGGTTTTTTTGATATGGAGTCTCACTCTGTCACCTAGGCTGGATTGCAGTGGCACAATCACAGCTCACTGGATCCTTGACCTACCAGGCTCCAGGCTTAGGTAATCCTCCCACCTCAGCTACCTAGGTAGTGTGAGCCACCAGCACCTGGCTAATTTTTGTATTTTTCATAGAGGTGGGGTTTTACCATGTTGCCCAGGCTGGTCTTAAACTCTTGGGCTTAAGGGATCTGCCAGTCTCAGCATCCCAAAGTGCTAGGATTACAGACCTGAGCCACTGAGCTCAGCCTGATTTCTTCTTCTTCTTCTTCTTTTTTTTCTTAATCGAGATGGAGTCTCGCTGTGTCACCCAGGCTGGAGTGCAGTGGCACAATCTCGGCTCACTGCAACCTCCGCCTCCCGGGTTCAAGCAATTCTCCTGCCTCAGCTTCCTGAGTAGCTGGGATTACAGGTGCGCCCCACCACACCCAGCTAATTGTGTGTGTGTGTGTGTGTGTGTGTGTGTGTGTGTGTTTAGTAGAGACGTTCTTTCACCATGTTGGTCAGGCTGGTCGCGAACTTCTGACTTCGTGATCCGCCTGCCTTGGCCTCCCAAAGTGCAGGGATTACAGGCGTTAGCCACTGTGCCCGGCCAATTTCTTCTTTTTATACATTCTGACAGTCGCTGTTGTTTCACTGATGTGTTTGGACTATTTATATTTAGTGTTCTATTGATATGATTTGATTTAAGTCTACCATTTCTCTCTTTTTCTAGTTCCGATGCCACTATTTTAAAATGTACCAGAAGTCTCTGTTCTCCTTAACAAGGAGAACAAGGGGAACTAGGTTACTAGAGCCTAACCAAGTTGGGTTTTACCAAAACCTGATCAATCGGGGGTAAGGAAAATACCCAAACCCAGCCTCCATCTGGCCTTCTTATTTCACCTAAGGATAGACGTGGGTATAGGAAAACAGGAAGCTGACAAGCACTTGTGAAGGTCACGATTTAAGGGCACAAGCTCACTAAAATACTGGGACTAAATCACAGTACTACAGAATGCTTCCCCTCCTGCACATCTTACAACCAACTCAATAGGAATTCTGTATAGAAATAGGATTATAGCAAAAAGCACTGCAAGCCTCAGACCCTACTTAAAAAGGAGTCCCTAGAAACACCCAAGGATGAAGTCTCTAGGAGACACATAAACATGGACACTGGAGGAAATTGTAGCCTCTGACACAATATCTACAGTAAACAGTAAACACAGTCTAACTCCTAAACATATAAATATAAAAGCTCACACTAAAGGCCTATCTCAGTTCCAGTTTACCAACTACATCATATCCAGATTTCAATAAAAATTACAAGGCACACAAGAAGAAAAAAAATACAGTCTAAAGGGACAATGCAAGCATCAGAACAAAACTTAGTTATAGTAGAGATTTTGAAATTATCAGACCAGAAATTTAAAATAACTATGATTGAGGTATTAATACTTAGGGCTCTAATAAAAAAAATACAAAACAAGCAGGAACAGATGGGTAATGTATGTAGAGACTTGGCAACTCTAAGAAACAGTCAAAAGGAAATGCTAGAAATAAAAAACACTATATCAGAATAAAGAACACCTTTGATGAACTCATGAACAGACTGAACATAGTCATGTGAAAAATAAGAGAGCTTGAAAGTATGTCAACAGAAACTTCCCAAACTAAAAACAAGAGAAAAAGCATGAAAAAAGAACAGAATATCCAACAACTATGGGACAAACACAATAGGCATAAATACACATAATGGGAATACCAAAAGGAGAATAAAGAGAAAGGAACAGAAGAAATATTTGAAGAAATAATGACTGAAATTTTTCCAAAACTAATAACAGACACCAAGCCATAGATCCAGGAAGCTCAGAGGGCACCAAGCAGGAAGAATACCAAAAATCTACCTCTAGGCATATCACTTTCAAATTGCTAAAAATCAAAGACAAAGCCTAAAATTATGATACAAGCCATACAGGAAAGAAAACTTTACCTATTGAAGAACAAGGATAAGATATCTATGTCCTCTTCTCCAAAACCTGTGAATATGTTAAGTTACATGGCAAAAGGGAATTAAGATTGAAGGTGTAATTATGCTTGCTAATTAGCTGACCTTGAGATGGGAATAGTATCTTAAATTATACAGGTGAGTCAAATGTAATCATGAGAGTTTTTAAAAGTAGAAGACAGTGGCAGAAAAGGAAAAACCAAAGAGATGGCAGTGTGAAAAAGATTTAGACCAATGTCACTCCATGTTGTTCTGAAAATGGAGAGGCCAAGGAAAACAGAGTCTCTCTTCAAAAGGCCAGGGAACATATTCTCCTCTAGAGTTTTCAGAAGGCAGTGCAGCCCTGCTAATACCTTGATTTTAGCCCAGTGAGATCCATTTTGTAATTCTGACCTCCAGAAGTGCAACATAATAAATTTGCATTGTTTAAGCCACTAAATTTGTGGTAATTTGTTATAGCAGCAATAGAAAACCAATATAGTTATAATAGCTGTTTTTAAGTATTTGATAATTCCAACATCTATGTTAGCTCAGGGTTTTGCCTGATTTCTATTCTCTTGCAAGTTGTGGTTTTCCTGGTTCTTCATTCTCTAAATAGTTTTAAATCATATCCTAGATATTTTAAATATTATGCTGTGAGATTCTGGGTCCTGTTTACACTCTAATGATAATTTTGATTTTATTTTTAAAACAAGCATTTGATTTCGTTAGGTTAAGGCTGCAAGTTTCAACCCACCTTTTGTGGGCTTTGGTTACAGGTCTGTTCAGTTCTCAAAGACTTCACTGTATTACTTGAATCTGTTTTATGTGTGTGAAATCCAGTGGACAGTCTGGGACGTGGACAGTCTGGGACATGGGCAGCGGTCCGGTCCATAATTAAATTCCCAAAGCCTTTGGTAGGCTATTTAGGGTAAGATTGACACATGCTAAACTCAGAGTTGAGCCCAGGAGTTCATCAACCACTTTGTGGGATAGCTCTTTTGAACTTCATCTTTTCCACAGTCTCCCTAACACTTTCTCATTCTCTGAGGTGTCCATTATTTGTCCTCCAGCCACAAATATGGGGCAAGAAGAAGGTTTCCCATCCTGAAGGAGAACTCTAATATGTTTCCCTAGGTTACCTGTATCACCTGAGACCAGGCAGGAATATTTTTAAAAGGCCTGACAAAGGCAAAGTGTGCACCACATGGGGTTTTAAACTGTTGAAGAAAATAGTTTGGATAAGATTCGGTATATAATGAGGTCTTTAAACTTCAACAGAAGTACAGTAAAGAGAAAAAGAGTTAAGCTTTTTATTTTGAGATAATTGTAGATTCACATGCAATTGTCAGAAATAATAGAGAAATTGGAGGGATCAAGATGGCTGACTAGACACAAGTATTGTGTGCCTCCTCCATGGAGAAGAGCCAGCGTAGAAAGTAGATAGTTGTTGCGGTGAGCCAAGATCATGCCATTGTCCTCCAGCCTAGGCAACAACAGCAAAACTCTATCTCAAAACAAAAAAAGAAAGAAAGAAAGAAGGAAAGAAAGTAGATAGTCATATTTTGAATAAATTAGCTAGTAGAGAATGCTTGGATTCATCAGAGAAGAAACAGGAAACATCAGAAGTAAGTAAGGAGAGTATTTAAAACAGCTGGCCCAGCTAGGAACTGACTGAGCGTGAGAGGCTCATGGATGCAAGGAAACAGTAAGAGAGAAATCCCCAAAGCTCTGAAATAGGCTTTAATGATCATGGCTGCAGGAGAAAACCTCAACCCATTTGGGCCTCATGTCTGACATAGAGCTGCCTGAAGATCACACAGAAACATTGCTCCAGAAAGGGAACCCACACAGAATTCCACAGGCATCCAAGCCTGGAGCAGACTCAGGTGGGAGCCACTTTGAGAGACTAGATACTGGGGATCTGTAGACATGGCTGTAGCTGCTGCACAGTTCCAAGGATGAAGGGGGAGAATGGGTGCACCCACACAGCCCTGGGAGGGTACTTGCTACCCTGCAACAGAATGCTGTGAGGCTGAGATGTAAATGGACTGCACTCTCCACAGCTTCTTGCCCATGCTACTTGCCTGAGAGGGACCCCATCCTCTTCAGCCACAAACCCACAAATGACACCATTTTGAGCATTTAAAGACATTGTTTGGCCACTTGGCAGTGGTGACCACAGCAGACATTTTAGGCTCAGGCCAGAGTTTGCAGCATTTGCTCTGGAAAGGCAGAAGGGCACCCACAGTCAGAATTGAGTGGTGAATGCAGAGAGTTCCCCAGCAGTAGGCACTGGAATTAGTCTTTTTCCTGTCACAGGCCTGGAGCAGGAGGAGAGTTTCTGAAGCCAAAGTTTCTCCTGGGTGGTGAGGCTTGTAGCCGGGGACAGCTTTGCAAACTGGAACTAGTCTGTGGGTGTCAATCCTGGTGTCCCAGCCTGCTCCCTTGGCCATTTGGGGAACAGTGCCCCATCAGCTCCAAGAAGTAGAATGGAGGCAGACCCCACTTTCCTTGGAGATCTAACCCTCAGCACTATCTGCCCCTAAGGGAAGGGGGAGCACAGCTCACCAAAGCCCCCCTTGGGTCAAAGAAAATGCAAGCATGGCACCAACTACTGAAGGTGGCATCACCAAAGCCCAGGAATGGACGTGGAGAGGAGGTCATCTCTCACCCCCACCTTTCTTCTCAGTGTAGTGTTGCAGACTTAGCAGCAGCTCTTCCTATCAGGGCATGGGGAGCATGGGTTGAAAGAGACAGCTTCTCCAGTGTCTCCACCACCACTGAAGGTAAATGTGTGCTGGGAGAGGGCACGATTCACACTTCCCAATTTTTCTCTGCCCCTGCCCCTAGCTGCCAGCTATTACTCTTAAATACCACACACTAGACTGCAGCTTGAATTACACCATCAAACAAAACCACATTGCTACAAAAAGCAATATCTGAGAAAGCCACCGCAACCTATCTGTAACCAATGAACCCATAAAGAGCTTAGGCACCCTGAAAGCACCAAGAAACAAAGCCAATTGATCATACACAACATACACCATAGCCATACCCCCAAGAAAAAAAAGAAAGAAAAAATCAAGAATCCCTATCCAAATGATGGCAAATTCAAAGGGAAGAAAAGAAGTGTCAACTCCGTCAGATGAGAAGGAACCAGTGTAAGAACTCTGGCAATACAAAAAACCAGAGTGTTTCATCACCTCCAAAGGATACCATTCACTCACAAACAATGTATATTAACTAGAATGAAATATCTGAAATGACAGGTGTAGAATTCAGAATGTGAATGGCAAGGAAACTCAACAAGATTCAAAAGAAATTTGAAATTCAACACAAAGGCGCCAGAAAAAATGATCCAAGATTTGGAAGATGACATAGCTGTACTAAGAAAGAATCAAAAAGAACTTCTGGAATTAAAAAATTGACTATAGGAATTTTAAAATACAGTTGGAAACCTTAACAATGGTCTAGACCAAGCAGAAGGAATTTTAGAGATCAAAGACCAGTTTTTTCAATGAACCACTCAGACAAAAATAAAAATAATTTTTAAAAATGAACAAAGACTTTGAGAAATAAGGGATTATGTAAAGTGATCAAATCTATGACTCACTGGCATTTTTGAGCGAGAAGGGAGAGTAAGCAACTTGGAAAGTATATTTGAATATAGGAAAATGTCCCCAATCTTGCTAGAAAGGTTGACATGCAGATACGAAACCCAGAGAACTTTGATGAGATACTATACAAGGCAACCCATCCCCAAGGCACACAGTCATCAGTGTATCCAAGACTAACAAAAAAGTAAAAATCTTAAAGGCAGCTAGAGAAAAAGGTCATATTATCTATAAAGGGAAGCCCATCAGACTAACAGCAGACTTCTCAGCTGAAACCTTACAAGCCAGAAGAGACAGAGGTTCCATTTTTAGCATTCTTAAAGAAAAGAAATGCTAGCCAAGAATTTCATATCTCACCAAACTAAGCTTCATAAATGAAGGAGAAATGAAGTATTTTCCAGACAAGTATTTGCTAAGGGAATTAATCACCACCAGACCAGCCCTACAAGAGAAGCATCTCCTTCAAGAGTTCTAAATATGGAAATAAAAGAATGTTACTTGCTACCACAAAAGCACACACACGTCCATAACCCACAGATCCCATAAAGTAACCCCTCAATTGAAACTACAAAGCAACTAGCCAACAACACTGTGGCAGGAACAAAACCTTACATATCAATTATCAATTAACCTTGAACATAAATGACCTAAATGTTCCACTTAAAAGACATAGAGTGGCAAACTGGATTAAAAAATAAGACCCATCCTTCTGCTGTCTTCAGGAGATTCATCTCACATATAACAATACCCATAGGATCATAGTAAAGGGGTGGAGAAAGATCTATGACACAAACGGAAAAAGAGCCAAGTTTGTTATTCTTGTATCAGATAAAATAGACTTTAAACCAAAAAATTTAAAAAAGGACAAATAAGGGCATGACATAATGATAAAGGTTCAATTTAACAAGAAGATGTAACTATCCTAAATATATATGCATCCACCATTGGAGCACCAAGGTTTATAAAACAATTACTTCTAGATCTAAGAAAAGACTTTGACAGCCACATGATAATACTGAGGGACTTCAACACCCCACTGACAGCATTAGACACACCACTGTGGCAGAAAACTAACAAAGAAACAAAGAAATTCTCGGCTTAAATTTGATGCTTGACTGATTAGACCCCATAGACATCTACAAAGTACTCCACCCAACAACCACAGAATATACATTCTTCTCATCTGCACATGAAACATATTGTAAAATTGACCCCATGCTTGGTTATAAAGCAAGTCTCAATAAATTAAAAAATATTGAAATCATACCAAGCATCTACTCAGACCACAATGGAATAAAAATAGAAAGCAACACCAAGAGGAACTCTCAAAATCACACAAATATATGGAAACTAAACAACTTTCTCCTGAATAACTTTTGGGTAAATAACAAAACTAAGGCAGAAATTTTAAAAAATTGAAACAAATGAAAATAGAGACAAAACATACCAAAATTTCTAAGATGTGACAAAGCTAGTGTCACTAGGAAAGTTTATAGTGCTAAATCCCTGCATCAAGAAGATAGAAAGATCTCAAATTACTAACCTAACTTCACACCTAAAGGAAATAGAAAAACAAGAACTAGTCCCAAAGCTAGCAGAAGAAAAGAAATAACTAAAATCAAAGCAGAGCTAAATGAAATTCAGACCCCATAAAAAATACAAAGGATCCACAAAACAAAAAGTTGGTTATTTGAAAATATAAACAAGATCAATAGACCACTAGCTAGATTCACAAAGGAGAAAATAATATCCAAATAAGCACAATCAGAAATTACAAAGTTGACATCACAATCAATCCCACAGAAATACAATTATCTTCAGAGACTACTATGAATATTTCTATGTAAACAAACTAGAAAATCTAGAGAAAATGGGTACATTCCTGGAAACTCATAATCTCTTACAATTAAACCAGGAAGAACAGAAATCCTGAACAGACCAAAAATGACTAAAGACATTGAATCATAATAATAATTGTTTAAAAACCTATCATGCAGAAAAAGCCCTGGATTACATGGATTCACAGCTGAATTCTACCAGACATACAAAGAAGAGTGGTACCAATCCTACTGAAACTATTCCAAAAAATCAAGGAGAAAGAACTCTTCTCTAATTCATTCTACAAAACCAGTATCATTCTGATATCAAAATCTGGCAAAGACACAACACCAACAACAAACTTACAGACAAATATTTCTGATGAATATAGATGCAAAACTCCTTGATAAAATACTAGCAAACTGAATTCAGCAGCACATCAAAAGTTAATTCGCCACAATTAAGTGGGCTTTATTCCAGGGATGCAAGGATGGTTTAACATATGCAAATCAATAAATGTGATTCACCACATAAACAGAATTAAAAACAAAAACTATATCATCATCTCAATAGATGCAGAAAAAGCATTCAATAAAAATCCAACATCCCTTTATGATAAAAAACCTTCAACAAACTAGGTATCAAAGGAACATACCTCAAAATAATCACGGCTATCTATGGCAAACCCACAGCCAACATCATAATGAACAGGCAAAAACTGGAAGCATTTTCCCTAGGAGCTGGAACAAGGATGTACATTCTCACCACTCCTATTCAACATACTGGAAGTCCTAACCAGAGTAATCAGGCAGGAGGAAAAAATAAAAGTCATCAAAATAGGAAAACATGAAGTCAAATTATCTCTCTTCATTGATGATATTATTCTATACCTAGAAAACCTTAAAGGTAATGCCAAAAGACTCCTAGACCTGATAAACAGGTCTTTAGCAAAGTCTCAGGATACAAAACTTACGTACAAAAATTAGTAGCATTTTTATAAACCAATAATGTTCAAGCTGAGAAACTATTAAGAATCCAATCCTATGTAAACAGCTACAAAAAATACATAGGAATACATCTAACCAAGGAGGTGAAAGATCTCTACAAGGGGAACTACAAAACGTTGAGGAGAAAGATCATAGACAACACAAATGGAAAAACATCCCTTGCTCATGGATTAGAAGAATCTATATCATTTAAATGTCCATACTGCCCAAAGCAATGTACAGATTCAATGCTATTCCAACATCAGTATTCCCAAAATGAGAAAGAACTATTCTAAAATTCATATGGAACCAAAAGAGAGCCCAAATAGTCAAGGCAATCCTAAGCAAAAAAGAATACAGCTAGTGGCATCACATTGTCCAACTTTATACTTCACTACAAGGTTACAGTAACCAAAACACCACAGTACTGGTACAAAAACAGGCACATAGACTAATGGAACAGAATTGAGACCCCTGGAATAAAGCCACACACCTGTAACCAACTAATGTTCAATATAGTCAACAAAAATAAGCACTGGGGAAAGGATAACGTATTCAATAAATGGGGCTGGGAAAACTGGTTAACCATATGCAGAAGAATAAAACTGGACCCCCGCCTCTTAACATATAGAAAAATTAACTCAAAATGGGTTAAAGACTTAAATATAAGACCTCAAACTATAAAAATCCTAGAAGAAAACTTGGGAAATACTCTTCTAGACATTGGCCCAGGCAAAGAATTTATAACTAAGCCCTCAAAGCAAATGTAACAAAAACAAAAATTAAAAATTGGGACTGAATTAAGCTAAAGAGCTTCTCCACAGCAAAACAAACTATCAACAGAACAAACAGACAAGCTACAGAATGGTAGAAAATATTTACAAACAATGTATTCAACAAAGGACTGCTGTCAAGAGTCTATAAGGAGCTTAAACAAATCAACAGGAAAAACACAAATAGTCCCAGTAAACAGTAGGTGAAGGACACTAACAGATACTTCTCAAAAGACATACACATGGCCAACAAACATAAGAAATGCTCAACATCACTAGTAATTAAAGATATGCAAATCAAAACTCCAGTGAGGTACCATCTCACACCAGTCAGAATGGCTACTATTAAACAGTCAAAAAATAACAGATGTTGGCAGTGTTGCAGAGAAAAAGAATTGCTTACATACTGTTGGTGGGACTGTAAATTAGTTCAGGCATTGTGAAAAGCAGTTTGAAGATTTCTCAAATAACTAAAAATATAATTGCCATTCAACCCAGCAATCCCATTACTGGGTATATACCCAATGGAAAATAAATTGTTCTACCAAAAAGACATTTGTTCTTGTGTGTTTATTGTAGTGCTATTCACAATAGCAAAGTCATGGAATCAACCCAGGTGCCCAACAATGGTGGATTGAATAAAGAAAATATGGTACATATACACCATGGAATACTACACTGCCAAAACAAAGCACAAAATCATGTCCTTTGTAGCAACATGGATGCAGCTGGGGGACATTACCCTAAATGAATTAACACAGAAACAGAAAACCAAATACCACATGTTCTCACTTATAAGTGAGAGCTAAACGTTGGATACACATGGACCCAAAGATGAGAACAATAAACACTGGGGATTCCAAAAGCAGGGAGGGAGGATGGCAAGGATTGAAAAACTACCTATTGGGTACTATGTTCACTACTGGGCAATGGGAGCATTAGAAGCCCAAACCACATCATCATGCAATATACCCATATAAGAAACCTGCACATGTACTCCCTAAATCTAAAATTTTAAAAATTATAAAAGTATTTAGAAAAAAATAAATTATAGAGAAATCTCATGTACCCTTTACGGAGTTTTTTTCAATGGTAACATCTTGCAAAACTAGCAAAATATTGCAACCAGCATATTGAAACTGATATAGTCAAGATACAGAACATTTCCTTTCCTTCATGTTGCCGTTTTTTAACCAAGCTTACTTTTCCCTCACCCTCTCCCATTCCTTAGTTAACCTCTGGCAAACATGTATCTGTTATTTATTTCTATGATTTTGTCATGTCAAGAATATTATGTAGTAGAATTATGCAACATACGAGACACAAATGTGAGCAAGGAAAAACAAAAAGTTTTGTGCTAGACCCTTAAAATTAGGCATAGAAGGAGGAAAGTCTCTTTAAAATAGTAGTAGCAGGGACAAGATCAGCATTTAATGCTCAATTTCATGTGAGGCCCAGTTGTCTCATTATTTAATAACCTGTTAAACACACACACACATACACACACTAGAATTGCCATAGACTAAATGCTTGCATCTCCCCAAAATTCATGTTGTAACCTAATCTCCAATGTTGCTATAGATAGAATATTTGTGGTTCTCCCAAATTTGTATGTTACAACTTAACTTTCAATGTGATGGTATTAAGAGATGGGACTTCTAGGGAGGTGATTAGATCATGGGAATGGAGCCCTCATTAATAAAGTTAGTGCCTTTACAAAAAGGACCCCAGAGAGCTCCTTTGCCCATTCCACCATGTAAGTACACATGAAAAGATACCCATCCATGAACAAGGAAGCAGTCCCTCATCAGACACCAAATCTGTTGATGCCTTGATCTTGGACTTTGCAGCTTCCAGAATTGTCAGCAGTAAATTTATATTGCTTGTAAGCCATTCCGTCAGTGGTATTCTTTTAGAACAGCTTGAATGGACTAAAACCAGGGTTTTATACACATATGCACACACATTTCAAATATATATATTTTGAAGATTTATATATATTAAGGGATATATATTTTTTCAGAAGACCCTAAGATATCTTGTTCTCCATGATATATCTGACCAACTATCACCAATTACTACATAATCCTCCTCTTCTCTGTCACTTTTTGACCAACTGGATTCTTTTACTCATTTATAGAAGATCATGAAGAACTTGGCTCCTAGTCTTAATCACTAAAAGTCTTGACATCCTCCAGGTAGACTTCAATATCCATGGAGGCAGTTCCTCCAATACCTAAATTTCTGTGTTCCTGAAGCTTCTTGGCTTTAGAGAACTGTAAGAGTAATCACTTAGCCATTCAACTTCCTGTCACACTGCCAAACATGTGTAACCACACCTTCTCTTTCCTATTTCCTCCTTTCTTCTATTAGCCTTTTTCCATATGAATTAAAATGCATTCAAGTATCTCCCATATTACAAAAAGGAAAATTTTTGGAGCCTCTGATTCCCCCTTTAATTGCTGTTCTAACCTTCACCTATTCCCCACCCCTACCAATTAAGTTTCTCAAGGGTCCTCTTCCTTCCCATGTGCACTTTCTCCACTACCACTAACTCCTCAGCCAAGTGCTTATTTTGTTCCTCAGGATTATATCACTAGCAACTTTTTCTTCTTGCTTTATACTTCATCCAAGGAAATGTCACAGACTACAATGACTTCAGCTGCCATTTGTATTCCGATGTTTCCTAAATCTATTTTTTTTTCTTTTCTTTTTTTTGAGATGGAGTCTCACTCTGTTGCCCATGCTGGAGTGCAGTGGTGTGATCTCGGCTCACTGCAAGCTCTGCCTCCCAGGTTCATGCCATTCTCCTGCCTCAGACTCCCGAGTAGCTGGGACTACAGGCGCCCACCACCACGCCCAGCTAATTTTTTGTATTTTTAGTAGTGATGGGGTTTCACCGTGTTAGCCAGGATGGTCTCGATCTCCTGACCTTGTGATCTGCCCGCCTCGGCCTCCCAAAGTGCTTGGATTATAGGCATAAGCCACCGGGCCTGGCCTCCTAAATCTATTTTTCTAAGCCAGATCTTTCCCAGCTTCAGATCTATATATTCAACATCTCCACTTGGTTGACCTAAAAGGACCTCAAACCTAGACTATTCATACCTAAACCCATCTTTTGTCTTCTAACTATTTCTCCTATTCTGGTCAATACTTCAGTGAATGAGATCAACAGCCATGCAGTTGTACAAACCTGGAATGTAACATGTAACTCCTGGTTAAACCTACCTCTTTACCTCCCACAGTCAATCACTATTACTGTCAATTATAGGCCAAATTCATTGACTTTTCTCCATCTTTATTGTTAGTAGCTTATTTCAGGCCACCATTACCTCTCACCCAGATCACTGAACAGTCTTTCTTTATTTTGTTATTTACCAGTTATTTATTAAGTATCTACTATGTACCAGAGACTGTTCTAGGCACTTGTGATACCAATAAACACTTATAAAAATCTTTGACTCTTGGGAGGCCAAGGAGGGCAGATCATGAGTTCAAGAGATCAAGACCATCCTGGCCAACATGGTGAAACCCCATGTCTACTAAAAATGCAAAAATTAGCTGGACCTGGTGGCACGCGCCTGTAATCCCAGCTACTCGGGAGGCTGAGGCAGGAGAATCACTTGAACCCAGGAGGCGGAGGTTGCAGTGAGCCGAGGTCGTGCCACTGCACTTCAGCCTGGTGACAGAGCAAGACTCCATCTCAAAAAAAAAAAAAACTTTGACTCTATAAAGGTTACTATATACTAGGTAAGGATAGACAATAATCAATGAACATAATAAATGAGTAAATCATATATTATTTTAGAAAGTGAAAAGTACTATTACAAAAAATAATTCAAACAAGAAAGAATTGTATGGTAAATTTAGTCCTAGAGTAAAATGACTGGCTGTTAAAGGAAAAGGGATGTTCAGAACAAACCAGAAAGTCCAAGCAAGTCATGAACAGCCTGTGTAAGTGACAATAAGAGGATTTATTTTAAAAAACTCAAAAACTTTTATAAGATCTAGTTCTCTATGATTAAAGGGAAATTATAATGGTCTTTCTATAGATCAGGTTTTATATTTAAAAAACCACTTATACGCTGAATAATAGAATTGGTTAGAACAATGAAATTTTCTTAAGGGGTTTATTTAATTTTAATAAATTATAAGATATTTTAATTTTTTTATTTTAACCCAAAGTTCAACTTTTATTGCATCTCACGGGTTTTGGTTTTCTCTCCCCTTTTAAAAAACATGAAATAGTAACAATACCCTTCAACTCATTTTCAGTTCCTATAAGTTTTTTTTTTTCCTCCTCAGGTTCTGTTTCTTGTGGCCTTATGCTAGCAATGTTTTCTTAAAGGTCTAAAGGAAATGTCTTCTTCCAACATAATATTCTGTGCACTACAAAAGGTCTTCTCTTTTGCCTTTTGGTAACTGGACTAACAGATTTTAAGTTTTATCAAAATAATTCCTATGCATTATTATTAAGTTTGGTTTGCTCAGGAAAAATTGAGAATAAAAAAATTTTAATTAACGTTATTACTTCCTTGCATCTTCCTGTATGTGCTTTTAAAGTCCTTGTGACATTGAGCTACAGGGCTTTGACTTCTGGGTCTAAAAAGAACACCAAGTCCTGCTAAACTTAAGCTCTGACAGCAATTAAAGCCTCATCTTCAGGCCTGGTAGAAGATGCCAATCAAAATTAACTGCATTCCTGAGACACAGGGCCAGAAATTAAAGCCATTCAACTCCTCAAGGCCCAGGGACTATCTTGGAAGAGGTGGGCATATGAGATTGTAAGGGCCAACTTTAAAAGATAAAGTAAGTTCACTTTCTTTATAAATTAATCATTAATGTCAAAAGCACACTGATGCGAGACCAGCATGTGGGCCCCTATGTCAGATTAACAAGGTTTTCTTGAAGCATTAACCTACTCCTTCATAAAGGTTATAAAGACTTACAGAAGTTATATCTTATGATCAGGATGAAAATGTTATAGATTGTTTATACAATTTTGGAAAATAAATTTAATAGGCTTCTTGTTGTTTTTATTAGGGCTTATTGTTTGGAAAATTAAGTCTCCTCTCTCATAGAATGAAGGTTTTGCCTTTTTAAGAAAATCCTTGAGTTATCACTTTGGTTAAATGAATGATTTATTTTACAATGACCTGTGATCCTATTTTGTAATATCAAGTGTTTTAAACCTTTGATATTTGACAAACTTTCCAAAATCAAATTATAAATTATGTCTTTTTCTGACCTTATTAATCCTTTAAGATATTACTAATAGGTTCCCTATAGTCCAAAAATGACGTGTGTAGCTTATTTGGTATAAAAATTATACAGGAAGCATTGTCAAATATAAAATGGTGTTTGGTTTCCTTTGGGCTATATTTGTATAAATATGTTATTGGCATGTATTCCAAAATTACGGGAAACTCCTATAATTCTGATATGACTTAATGCCTGTTATCAGTAATAATTATAATCGTTATGTTAAAAAAATCAAACAGAGTAAGGGGAATGCTAAGAGGTGGGAGTGGGGATGTGTCTGGTGTTAAATCAAGAAGATGAAAAAGACTTGAAGGAAGTAAGAACTACGTGGAAGTTACATGAAAACCTGGAGAAAGGGAAGAAAAAGAAAACAGCCAGTGCAAGGATGTCTTGGACCAGGCCTAGTGAGTTTCTGTGCCCTTTATTTAAATGAGTCCAATAAAACACTGTGCCAAGGCATTTGGGCCATACACATGCTACATGAGGAGCTGCTGAAGGTAGAGTACCATATTCACATTTTCATTTTAGAAATAAAATTTCAGATTCTTGAACACAAACATGATATCCTGTATTTCTGTATCTTTAATTCCTAGACCAGTGCCTGACACACAATATACATTTAACAAAGGTTTTTTGAATGAGTGCTTAGAGCAGGCTGAGACTGGAGGCAGGGAAATTAATTGGAAAACTATTTCAACAATTTAGATGAGCAATGACAAAGTATCGGTCTAAAGAAAGACAATGTGGATGGAGAAAAAAAGGATAGACTTGAGAGACATTTTGGAGGTAGGATTTATAAGACTTAGTGGCTGATCAGCTTGTGGAGGGAGTTTTAGCTTGATTGACTACACAGGCTATGGCAACAATTATTAAGACTGGAGAGATAAAAGTAGAGAATTTGTTTCCATTTGATTTTGTATGCTTGTTTTGTTTTTGTTAGGGGATGATGGTGAGACAGATGATAAATTTGGTGTGTGTGTTTTTTGTTTTGGTAGTGCTAGTGGAAGACTTAGATGGAGATATCCAATGAATAGCACATATTCAAGAGTGGGGCTGGAAAGAGGTTTCACTTTTGGAAGGACATAGCAGAGATTCTCAAATGTTAGCATGCTTAAGAATAAACTGAGGAGCTTGTTAATACTTTGTAATCTTAGGCTCAAACTGAGATTTCAGTAGTTCTGAGTATGGCTCAGGAATCTGCATTTTACACACAGGTATAAGAACAGGTATTCTGGGCAGAAGGCTCCCAGACTTCACTTTGTGAAACACTAATATTGGTAGTGGGTAGGACCTGGGCAAATGAATTAAAAGGTACAAGCATAGAAGAGAAGAGGATCAGAGGAAGAAATCTAGAGAACACATATTTATAGAGAGGGCCCAGGAAAAGAAACCTTCTGAGCTGTGCTCTGAAGGCTTTTTTTAACCAGTTCATATTACCGGCTGAATGCCCTAGACTGTGGTGCTTCTTGTTTGAAGCTTGGAGGTAAGTCTGTGTTAGACAAAGGTTAGAAAGACACTTTTAAAGGTAGTTGGGTTCAAATGTAAACGGGCCTCGAATGGCTAAACAAAGGAATTTGTTCTTTATACTGTCAGTGGTGAAAGTATTTGATCAGGACCAGAAGATGATAAAAGCAGAGTTTCTGAAAGATTATGTTTGTACTAAATGGTTGGGAAGAAAAGAAACTGGAAGCAAGGTGAGTTAAGAAAAACTTACAAAGGGAAGAGCCAGGAGACACTAAACTACTTAAAGAATAAGAAAACCCCTGTGAAGAAGGCAGAGGACTGAAACAGAAACTTAATTAGTTTGAAATCTCAGAGGCCAAGGGAGGAGGAGAGAATTTTGACGCAGGATGGTTACAGTGCCAACTAGTACAGAGATGGCACAAATCCATCTGCCATTTTTTAAAGAAAAACAATAATAATGTATACATTGCCATTTAAAATAGTAATAATAATATATGCATTGCCAAAGGGATTTATGCTGAACAGTGAACCCCTGATCCACATTCTCCTGCTAAGATGATATGCTTTTAACTTTTATTTCTTGCCATGATAAAGGGGGTCATTCAAATGAAGTCACCGTGACCTTCTGTGAAATTCTTAAAAATGAAACTTCCTACCTTTGTGTGGTCTTTTGAAGCCAAGTAAATGATCCAGAAAATTAAGATAAATGTCAACATCAGCAGTAATTTTCGAGCTATGGCATTTGGAAACAAAGTGAGTATCCTATAAGAAAGGACAGGAGAAATAATCACATTAAATCAAATAAGTACGACATGGCTCCGTACACTTTGGTTCCTCTTCAGTAATTTCCAGAACAAGGTGATGTTATCCTGGGTTTTCCAAAAGTTCCTTTATATCTTCTATTGTCAATCAGAAACAAAGTGTTTCCCTGAGGCAGGGAACAAAACTCCTAGAAGGACTCCTGGTTTCTGATACTCAGGTTAATTCTTTGGGTTTCGAATCATATCACATACTGGAACCTGTTTTCTTGTCGAGGTCTCAGCATGGACAACAAGGTTTTAGATTATTTACCAGAAAAAACAGTACCCCCACCCCCACCCCACCCCCACCGTGTCCTCTAGTGAATCCTGGTCTCTAAATCTCTCTCTCTGATACACACACACACACACACGCACACACATGTTGTCTGGTACCCTCTCTCCCTGGTCTTATCTGCCTCAAGAGCTTCATTATAAACCACCCATTTACTTTTTTAGGCAGCTTGTTGCCACCCCATGTTATCTCCTCAAGCCAAAGCAGTTGATAAACACTGCCAAAAAGAGTGAAAGTTACAGTCTTTAAAAAACTCAGTGTTGAGTGGTTAGAATTTCAGTGTTAGTTTTTAAAACCCAGAATCCCAAAAGTATGTGGCAAAGAGCTAAATTATGGCAATCTTTACCAAACATTTTTGACCAGGACCCATAGTAAAAAAAATAAAAACAAACAACCCCCCCACCCCAGAAAAAAAACATCATACCAAATCCAACTCAGGACACATGAATGCATACACACAAACACACACACACACATACACGCCCCAAAACTCTCATAAAACAATACTATCTACACTGCACACAATGCACTGTGATTTTTTTCTAGTTACTGTTTTATTCCATTGAATTGTATTCCATTTTAAAAGTATTTTTATGCCCAAATAAAACGATTTTACTATCCTCTAAAGGGTTGCATCACACCATTTGAAAAACACCAAATGGTCTATAGTTCTCCCCTCCCTTCCCTGACGTTAGCTTGGCAGTAAGAGTTGGAAAGTACCACACCTATGGATGAGTATTTTCTCCACCATCTTCTCGTGTTCTCACAGGAATTATAGTGTCCAGAGACTCTCCTTGATTAAAGCAGTCTTTGCATTTATCTTAGGGTTGGAGTTTCCCTATGAGCTTCATTGATCAAAAGCTGACATCCTATTTGTGGCCACAGCGTGCCAGCTGGAATCATAAACCTCCCTTATTATGATCTGTTCCTGCCCAACCCACACCACAGAGCCAGAAGGAAAAAGCCATGAGGAAGCTCTGAAGTTTGTTTTTAGAGACTGGACATCTAATTGCAGCACTGAGTCACCTTTGGTTAAGGCTTTACGTGTTTATAGACAGAGTGCTCTTCCCTTGCTCATGCCTTTGTATGGTTTTCACGTAGGATTAGTCACCTCCACAGTAGCAGGAAAAGTAACTGAAAAATCAGAAAGAAGAAAAACAGAAGCCCTGAGTCCACGGTTCCTGAAGGCCTGAGAATTGATTCAGCTGGGTCCTCTCAATTTTTGGAGTGCTTTCTTTGTAAACTTTCTCTTGCTCTAAACCATTGCATACATCAAGCAGTCCCACAGCGATGATTTAAATTCAATCTCAGGCCATAAGAGGAACAGCCACAGGTCTAAATCTCACTGCAACTTGAATATGTAACAAGGTAAGAGAATCCAAAAGAGCAAATTCTGTGGATGTAGGTCTCATGACACTAAGGATTTTCAGTGGTCACACTGCAACTACCTGCCAGGTGGCCCTGCTACCACCATAACACACGGGCCACACTCAGTATGCATTGCTCTGCATGAGAGTGTCTAGATATAGATCTCTATATACAGATATAGATAGATGATAGCTATCTAGATATAAATATGGATATATACATGTGTATACTTCATAGATATGTGTATATTTATATACACATAGCATTTGTTTGTTTGCATCTAAGCCAGCACCTCTAGCCACCATATATCCCTCCATGTCTATATAACAGCATGGATATCAGAACTGTAATCACAGCATATTGGAGATTGGCACAGAGATTCGGTAGATAATTTTTAAAGAAATTTATTGAAAGAAAAAAGATATGGATCCTGCCAATTCTTCCCCACTCCTTATAAGACATGTTCTTCTCCTCTGCCTTGTGCTGCAGTGTTATGACAGTTATAATAGTGTCCAGAATTGTTTTTCAACTTTATTGAGGTACAGTTCGCAAATAAAAAATGTATGTGTTTACAGTGTATAATGTGATGTTTTGATGTATGCAGACATTGTGAAGTGATTACTACAATCAAGCTAATTAACATATCCATCACCTAACATGGTTATTTTTATTTGTGTGGTGAGAACGCTTAAGATCTAGTCTCTTTGCAATTTTCAAGTATGCAATAAAGTATTATTAACTATAGACACAATGCTGTACAATAAATCTCTAGAACTTATTCATCCTGTGTAAAGTAAAACCTTGAGTCTTCTGACCAACATCCCCTATTTGCCCCTCTCCCTGACCAGACCCTCAGCAACCACGATTCTACTCTATTTATATGAATTTGACATTTTTAGATTTCACATGTAAATGAGATAATGCAATAGTTATCTTTCCGTGTTCTGTGATTGGCCCATTTTACCCAGCATAATGTCCTCCAGGTTCACCCATGTTGTTGCAAATGGCAAGATTTCCTTCTTTTTTAAGGCTGAGCAACACCCAACTGTTTATGTGTATATATGACACAATTTCTTTATCAGTTCATCTGTTGATGCATACTTAACGTTGTTTCCATGTCTTGGCTACTGTGAATATTGCTGCAATTAACATGGGAGTGCAGATATCTTCTTAAATACTGACTTCTTTTCCTTTGGATATATACCCATTAGCGGGATTGCTGGATCATACAGTATTTCCATTTTAAATTTGTTGAGTAATCTCCATACTGTTATCCAAAATGGCTGTACTAATTTACATTCCCATCAAAAGTGTACAAGTATTCCCTTTCTCCCTCTCCTCACCATCACTTATCTTTCGTCTTTTTGATAATAACCATACTAACAGGTATGAGGTAATCTCTCATTGTAGTTTTAATTTGCATTTTCCTGATGATTAGTGAGGCTTGACATTTTTTTCATATACCTCTTGGCCATTAGAATGTCTTCTCTAAGAAATATCTATTCAGCTCCTTTTCCAATTTTCTAATTGGATTATTCATTTTCTTACTATTAACTTATTTGAGTTCTTTTATATTTAATTTAAATATTAATTCCTTATCAGATGTATGGTTTGCAAATGTTTTTTCCCATTTCGTAGGTTGTCTCTTCATTCTGTTAATTGTCTCCCTTGCAGTACAGAAGCTTTTAAGTTTGATGTAATCTCATTTTGTCTATTTTTTGTTTTGTTGCCTGTGCTTTTGGAGTCATATCAAAAAAACCTCAGTGACCATACCAATATCAAAGAGATTTTTCCCTATGTTTTCTTCTAGCAGTTTTACAGTTTCAGGTCCTATGTTTAAGTCTTTAATCCATTTTCAGTTGGATTTTTTTTATATGTTGTGAGATAAGGTTCTAGTTTCATTCTTCCACATGTGGATATGCAGTTCTGTCAGCACCATTTATTGAAAAGCCTGTCTTTTCTCCATTGTGTGCTTTTGGCACCTTTGTCCAAAAATCAGTTGACTGTAAACATGTGGATTTATTTCTGGGGTCTCTATTTGGTTCCATTCTTCTATGTGTCTGTTTTTATGCCCATACCATGCTGTTTTGATTACTAGAGCTTGCAGTAGATTTTGAAATCAGGTAGTTTAATATTTCCAGCTTTGATATTATTGGTCAAGATTGGTTTGGCTATTTGCGGTCTTTTGTGGTTCCATGTAAGTTTCAGAATTATTACTTTTATTTCTGTTAGAAAGTCCATTGGAATTTTGATAAAGATGACGTTAAATCTGTAGAATGTTTTGGGCAGTATGGACATTTTAACAATATTAATTTTTCTAATCCATGAACACAGGATATCATTCTATGAAGAGATCTTTTCCCTACTTCATGAAATTAATTCCTAAGGGTTTTTTTTATGCTATATTAAATTAAATTGTTTTCTTGATTTCTTTTTCAGATAGTTTATTGTTAGCGTATAGAAAATCTATGTATTTCTGCAGTGAATTTTGTATCCTGCAACTTTACTGAATTTGTTCAACAGTTCTAACAGTTTTTTGGTGGAGTCTTTAGAGTTCTCTATATATAAGCTCCTGTCACTGGCAAACAGAAACCATTTTACTTCATTTTTTATTTGGATGCCTTTTATTTCTTTCTCTTGCCCAACCATTCTGGCTAGGACTTCCAGTACTATGTTGAATTCAATGGCAAGAGTGGGTATCCTCTTATTCCTCATCTTAAAGGAAAAGCCTTTAGATTTTCACCATTGAGTATGATATTAGTTGTGGGTTTGTCATATATAGTGTTTATTGTGTTGGAGTATAATCCTTCTAATAATCCTTCTATACTCAATTTTTTAGAGTTTTTTTCTCATGAAAAGACATTGAATATTGTCAAATCCTTTTTCTTTATCTATTGAGATGATATGATTTTTATCCTGCATTCTGTTAATATGATGGATTACATGTATAGATTTGTGTATGTTGAACCATCCTTGCATCCAAGGGATAAATCTCACTTGATTATGGTGAATCATTCTTTCAATGTGCTATTGAATTTTGTTTGCTAGTATTTTGTTTTGGATTTTTGCATCTATGTTCATTAGGGATGATAGTCTATAATTATCTTTTCTCCTAGCGTCCTTGTCTGGCTTTGATATCGGGACAATGCTGGTCATCTAAAATGAATTTGAAAGTATTCCCTTTACTTCAATTGTTTGGAAGAGTTTGGGAAGAGTTGGCATTATTTCTTCTTTAATGTTTACTAGAATTCATGAGAGAAGCCATCAGGTCCTGTCTTTTCTTTGTTGAACAGTTTTGTTCATTGTTTTCTAACTGCTTTGTAGTTACTTTGTGTCGTTCTTTCTCTCTTGTTGTCTTCTTTTGTGATTTGATTTTTTTTTTGTGGTGGTATGTTTTGATTCCTCCTTATCTTTCATGTTATCTACTACAAGTTTTTTCTTTGTGGTTGCCATGAGGTTTGCATAAAACATACTATGGCTCTAAAATCCATTTTAAAGTGCTAACAACTTTGACCACATACAATAGGATTCTCTCCTAATGTGGAATCTAGTCTTTATGTAGCTAAGTGAAATTATTCAGCTCCATAGACACTTGATGATAAATGTGTGTCTGAGCCACATCACAATTACTGAAGCACATTTTTCCCATTGTGTTATTTTTATTTAATGATTTTTCAAGAGAAAATTAAGGTTATTTGGTTGGCAAATAATTTTAAACATTTTTGTTGGTATGAACTTCAGCATACCATTGTAGGAAATGCAACATATGCATGAATTTTTTAAATAAAAGACTACTAAGGCATTTTAATTCCTTAGCAGGTTTTGTTCACTTGTTTGTTTGTTTGTTTGTTTGTTTGTTTGTTTGTTTTTAAACAATGTCCACCAGCCCCTGGAGGCCCCTTCTCTCCTTTTGAAATTTTTAATCTCCACTAATCCCATCATCATCTTTGGGGTGATTTCTAGTTTTGTCTTTATCCTGTACTTGTGAAGATAAGCTGATAAATGACATTGTCATGGTGAGATTTAACAGAATTCTGGTTTTGGGCTAGTTTGTAGGAGAGATGTGTATCCTGAAGGATTTAGGAATTCACAAAGAATTTCCTCATGAGCAATTTGAGGGAGGCTATCTGGGGAGATATGTGGCTTCCTATCTTTGTGGGAACCTGGTTTATGGATGAGGCTCTCACATAGAGTTATGAAATTACAGCTCTTTGGGAACAAAAGGAAAGCAGTATTGCATGACTCAATTCCCAAGTTTAACTTTCTCTTTGGCATAGAGAGTTAGGGGTCCTGAGATTCTATTTTCTTTCACAATAGGGATTTTTTCTCTTTTATTCCTGATTTTAGTAATTTGAGTTTTCTCTTTTATTCTGAGTTATTCTAGCTACAGGTTTGTCAATTTTATTGGTCTTTTGAAAGGACTTTTTTTTGGTTTCAATGATTTTTCTGTCCTGTTTTTCTATTCTCTATTTTTCTGCTCTGATTTTTATATTTTATTTATTTTGCTTGCTTTATGCTTAGTTTGCTCTACATTTTCCAGTGTCCTTAGGTGAAAAGTTAGGTTATTGATTTGAGATCTTTCTTCTTTTTTAATATGGGTGTGAACAGCCACAAATTTCCATCTAATAACTACTTTATCTTTATCCCATAAGTTTTGGTTTGTTATACCTTCATTTTCATTCATCTGAAAGTGTATTCTGATTTCCCTTGTGATTTCTTCTTTGACACCTTGATTATTTAGTAGTGTGTTGTTTAATTTTATATATTTGTGAATTTTCCAAATTTATTTTCATTACCAATTTCTAATTTCATTCCATATAGCCACAGAGCATACTTCGCATGATTTCAATTATTTTATATATACTATATATGTTATATATATAATATATATATAGGCTTGTTTTATGGCATAGTATGTGGTCTATCCTAGAGAATGTTCCATGTGTACTTGAGAAGAATATGTTTTCTGTTGTTGTTGGGCAGAATGTTCTATAGACATCTGTGTGGTCTAGATGGCTTATAATTTTGGAGTTTTTTCTTACTGTTATTCTGTCTAGTTGTTCTAATCATTATTGAAAATATGATATTGAAGTCTCTAACTATTATTGTTGAATTGTCTATTTCTTTTTTCAATTCTGTAGGTTTTCGTTTATATATGTTAGGTCTATATTGTTAAATGCTTATATTTTTCTCAGTGTTATATCTCCCTGATGTATTGACACTTTTAACATTAGAAAACGTTCCTCATTATCCATGGTGACATTATGGCTTTTAAAGTCTATTTTGTCCACCTCATCTTTCATATTATTGCTGTTTGAATGATACCTTTTTTCCATCCTTTTACTTTCAAACTGCTTGTATCATTAAATGTAAAGTATGTGTCTTGTAGGCAGTATATGTTAGTTGGATCTTGTCCCATTAACCAGTCTGGCAATTTCTGCCTTTTGATTGGATTGTTTAATCCATTATTCACATTAAGTATTATCATTAAAATAGTTATTTTACCTTTGTTTTTAATACGCCCTTTGCATCTTTTTTTCTCTGTTCTTCCTTTACTGATTTATTTTGCATTAAATGAATATTTTCTAGTGTAACATCTTAATTCCTTTAATTATTGCTGTATATTTTGAAAAAATTTAGGGATTGTTCTAGCAATTAACTTGCACAGTAGATTCTTATTATTCATGGTTTTTATGTTCTATAGTTGCTTTTTGTGTGTGATATGGTTTGGTTCTGTGTCCCCACCCAAATCTCCTGTTGAATTGTAATTCCCAGTGTTAGAGGAGGGATCTGGTGGGAAGTGATTGAATCATGGGGGTGGACTTCCCCCTTGCTGTTCTTGTACTAGAGTTCTCATGAGATCTGGTTGTTTCAAAGTGTGTAGCACCTCCTCCTTCTCTCTATGTCTTTCCCACCAGCCATGTGAAGATGTGCTTGCTTCCCTTTTGCCTTCACCATGATTGTAAGTTTTCTGAGGCCTCCTTAGAAGTAGAAGCCTGTACAGCCTACAGAAACATAAGCCGATTAAACCTCTTTTACTTATAAATTACCCAGTCTCAGGTATGTCTTTATAGCAGTGTGAGAACAGACTAATATAGTGTGTGTGTCTGTTTGTGTATTCAAATTACTGTCCGTGGTCACTTGTTTTCAAACTGAGGAATTCTCCTTGCTATTTCTTGTAAAACAGATCTGTTGGCTATGAATGCTCTCAGTTTTGTTTATCTGAGAATTTCTCTTTTTCCTCTTCACTTTTAAAGACAGTTTTGCTAGATAAAACACTCTGTTGACAGGCTTATTCTATTTTTTTCTCTCAGCACTTTGAATATGTCATCCTACTGCCTTCTGGTGCCACTGTTTCTAAAGAAAAGTCAGTTGTTAGTCTTATTGTGGTTACCTGGTATGTTATAAATTATTTTCCTCTTGCTGCTTTCCAGATTTCTAATTTGACTTTGACTTTCATTTTTACTATGATGTGTCTGGGTGTGGATTTCCTTACACTATTGTACTTGTACTTTATTAAGTATCTTGGATATATAGATTAATGTTCTTCATTAAATTTGAGGAATTTTCAGCCATTATTTCTTCCATTGTTTTCTGGTCCTTTCTCCCTATCCTCTCCTAATTCCTCTATTACATTTCAACTGCTGTGCTTAAATTTGTACCGTATTTCTCTAAAGATCTATTTATATTCTTATTATTTTTCTCTCTGTTCTCTAGACTGCATAATCTCTACTGATCTACCTTCAAGTTTGCTGATTCTTTCTTCTGACAGTTCAAATCTACTGTTAAGTATCACTAGTTAACTTTTCATATCAGTTATTGTACTTTTCAACTCCAGAATTTCAATTTGATATTTTTGTTTATATATATTTATATATATATTTATATTTATGTATATATTTATATTTTTATATATATATATTTGTCCTTATTGACAATCTCTCCTTGATGGGGTATTGCCATAATAATTTCCTTTCTTTTTTTAAGCAGGGCTTCCTTTAATTCCTTGAACATATTTATATTGGCTATCTTGCAGTCTTTGTCTGACTTGGTTTGACAACTTGGCCCTCTCAGAGGCGGTTTCCATTGCCTGCGTTTTCTCCTGTTCGTGAGTCATTCTCTCCTGTTTCTTTGCATGTCTTATAATTTTTGTTGAAAACTGAATATTTCAGATAAAATATTATAGCAAATTTATATACTGATCTCCACTCTATGGAACTTGATGTTGTTGTTGTTTGCTTGTTTTACTTTTATTTATTTATTTATAGAGACACAGTCTCACTCTGTTGCCCAGGCTAGAGTGCAGTGGTACAGTCATATCTCACTGTAACTTTGAACTCCTGGGTTCAAGTGATCCTCCTGCCTCAGCCTCCTAAGTAGCTAGGACCACAGGTGTGCACCACTATGCCTGGCTACTTCTTTAATTTTTTGTAGAGATGATGTCTTGCTGTTTCCCAGGCTGATTTCCAACTCCTAGCCTCAAGGGATCCTACCACAAGGGCCACTTCAGTGCTGGGATTACAGAGGTGAGCCACTGCGCTTGGCCTGCTTGTTTGTTTAGTAATTGGGCTGGGCTATTTTAGTAGTCTATTTCTCCAGAAGTGCATAGTCTCTGATATTGCTCCTCAGAAAGTAAAGGCTTGGGCATGCACACAATCATCTTGGGATAACAGTGATTTTATCAAGGCTCTCTTTGACCATGTCTTATTTTGATTTCTCTAAGCTCTCTCCATCTGTTGTTATCATACCTAATGGATAGCCTCTACTAATTCCTGGCTGATTGCTCCATTGTTCCCCACAAGGTCCTGGGGCATAAACTGCTCTATGGTCTAATTAAATTAAATATAGACTCCTTTGAGGGGCAGTTTTTGAGACCAGTCTTTGAGGTTTGTTCTAATTCTATAGGGCTCTACCTAGCTATGTCTTTGTGCAGTTTCCTCTGGTAAATTAGTTGGTTTATGGTTTTGCTTGTTACTGTCAAGGAGCTGCCAGCTTGCTCTTAACCCATTTATCCCTGAGGTTGCAATGTTTTGAATTTTTGCAATCAGACCTTCAGGATGACTGCAAGCAGTAGGATATAAATAACTCCCACATGCTTAGTGTTCCAATAATGGAACACTAGGCATAATTGCCTACAACCAATATCTCCATTATCTTTGGAAGAGTTTTTTTTAGGACTGAAATTCCCTTCAGACTGCTCCAAATAAAGTCAGTGCCCTTGGAAAAAATATGTGGAGCATTCTGTTGCTATGACCTGCCTCTCTTCCTGGGCAAAACTTCTGCCATTGCTCCAGAACTGAAGTCAGTGACAGTGGCCCATTTCTCAGGGTGACACTCAGCCAGTGAGCTGAAGTGAGAATAATTGGAGCTTGGTATTCTCAGTCCATCAAACCTAGAAAAGTGCTTCTGCTCTATAAGTAGGGGCTGGGTAGAGAAAGAGAGTCCAGGACTTCTAAGCCATTCTTGGGTAGAATAGAACCTCTGCAACACACAACTGGAAGGAATGAAAAGGGATATCTTACCCTTCAGGTAAGATATTCTTGACTGACAAGTCAGGGAAGATGAAGTCTTCTTGATTGCACCTGCCAGAGTAGAGCTTTGTCATGCTAACTTGTGGGCTTGGAAAGAGAAGATGGAAGGATTTTGTGGCTCAATTTCCAGTCTTTTTCCATTCTAACTGAGATATAGAAGATTTTCTTCAAAAAATGTTTATTCATTTGCTGTATGCCCTTGGGATAATTTCCAAAGACTTTAAATCATTGTTTGTTTTATAATGTGCATCAATTATGATTGTTCCACTGGGGAGAGGGTCCACAGAGCTTCTCACATTTTTGCTGGAAGTCATCTCTTGATTTCTATTGTTTTTGAAATCATTCCAGAGCATAGGAATTTTCTGTGGAGCTCTAAATCTGATCAGTCTCTTCCACTTTCAGCAAGCTACCATTCCTCATGGCTACCACTCTATAGAGCTGGGAGTGGAATGGGAGCAGCCCCAAGTTAAAATCACAGAGATTCCATTCTTCTAATCAAAATTCAGTCATTTTTCTTAAATAAGTGTTGTTTGATTTATTGTATACCTTTGGTTGCTTTTCAGAGTTTTGCAAATATTGTTTTTGATGATTTTGTCCAGTTATTTCTGGGAGAGGATTTGCCAAGTTTCTTATTTCACCATTCCAAAAATGCTGTCCTAATAGTTGGCTTCTATATTTACAATATTCACTAAAGATTAACAGTAACTTATTAATATTTTATGAAGAAAATATAAAGATAAGTCATGGTCTCTGCCCACTCCCATTTATCTTCCTAGTTTGTTCCTTTTCCCCACTTGCTCTGAGCAGATCCTAGAATACTGTGTGCCCTTATATACCTTATGGCTGTGTTTATCTGGAGAACTCTAACTGAGTTCTTCTCCAGTTAGAGAAGGCTGAGGTTCCTTCTGTGTGTACCTGTAGAACCTCAACCTCACTGTTATAAATAGTGCTTGTCACAAATTTTTGTTTGCTTGTTTCTGTATCCTCTGTGTATTAGTTATCTACTGCTGTGTAACTTAGTAATTTAAAACAATAAACATTTATTATCTCATAGTTTGTGCAGTTGAGAACTTAGGAGTGGCTTATCTGGGTGGTATGTTAGCCTGTTCACTAGCAGAAATAGGAAGCAGACAAGCAGGAGCCTGTCCCTTATCTTCCTCCAGAAGTCTCCCTCTAGTGTACCTTAATTAACATAGATCCTAATAGGAAAGCAGCTAAGGTTTGCAGAGTCCCAGCCACAGAATCACAAAACAGAGTACAGAAAAGTAGTTTGGAGTTGAGAGCCAATAGCTTAAGAGCAGGCACACTATCCATCTATCAAGAGGTATTCAGTCTTTTCCAAGAACACTTCCTGAACATCCTTCTCCCTAAGAAAGGCTGAGGTTCCTTCTGTGTGTACCTGTAGAACCTCAACCTCACTGTTACAAATAGTGCTTGTCACAATTTTTTGTTTGCTTGTTTCTGTATCCTCTGTGTATTAGTTATCTACTGCTGTGTAACTTAGTAATTTAAAACAATAAACATTTATTATCTCATAGTTTGTGCAGTTGAGAACTTAGGAGTGGCTTATTTGGGTGGTTCTGCCTCAAGATCTCTAATGAGGTCTCTGTCAGTATGGCAGCTGGAGATACGCTCATCATCTGAAGGCCTGACTGGGGCTGGAAGATTTACTTCTAAGATGGCTGACTCAGATGGCTGTTGTCAGGAGGCCTCAGTTCTTTGCTGTCTGTTAGCAAGGTCTCAGTTCTTCGCCACTTTCCATGGACTGTTGAGCGTACTCATGATGTGGCAGCTGGTTTTCCCCAAAGCAAGTAATCCAAGAGAGAAAGCAAGGAGGAAATCACAATGCCATCTTTGACCTACTCTCACATGTCATGACTTCCACCAAATTATATTTGTTAGAAGCAAGACAAATCCATTATTACTCAAGAGGTGGGGAATTGGGTTCCACTTCTTTGAGGGTGGAGTATCAAAGAATTTATGGACATCTTTGGTGTTGCGTGTTTAATTAATGGATAATCTCTAACTGAATTAACATTTAGAAGTCTATTACTTCAGAATTAAGCTTCAAATTGACATTTTAGGAGAAATTTGTTTAGTTATTAAATATAATTATGTTTATTAAAAACATTTTTTAAAATTCACTCTGTTACTCTTTCTCAACTTCCTATTTGTAATGGTTAAAGAATGAATTTAAAAAGTTCAGAAAGATACCTTCATTTCTAAAAGAACAAAACCAGTTTTGTCACTCTCTGTCAATCAGGACCTGGATCTTCACGTAAATATCTTCATGTATACAGATAACTCACTGGACCACATGGCCATCACAGCACAGTTAGAACAACACCTGGCACATGTAAAATTTTGTTGCATGAATACAAGGAAAACAGAAACATACTTTAAAAGTGAGGACGTTAGATGTTGATTAATGTTCAAACCTGTGTTTGTGTTTCTGAGGGCTATGGGTGTGGACATATGTGTGTGGATGTGTGCAGGGGTGTTTTTTATGTATATATGCTATAAAGAGAAGTGTGGGTATTGTGAATGAAGGGTAATATTTGTTTTTCCTTTGGTAATTCTGTCCATTATGACTGAAATAAGAATTCAGTTCAAATGTTGTAAATACAAGGAAAAGACCAATACTCTAAGAGGGCATTCCAAGACAAGCTGATATTCTACCTTATAAAAGCTTCTCACATGCATATGCCAGCAATTTGAGACCCTAATACCTCTTTAGAAATTATTTTGTGAAACCATGAATAATATTTCAGATAAAAAAACCAAAGTACTAAGGGCTTATATGATTTAAGGCCATATATCCTATTAATCAACAGATAGAACAGGTCTCTTAACTATCAATCCAGTTAATTTCTTATGCCATTTTACCATTTCTGAAAAAAAGAGAATTACCTTTTCTTTGAAAGTTCATATATAATATTTTAAGACAAATCAATACTGATGTGAGGATACACGTTTTATACTTTGATAGTAATAATCAAATTGAATTGATTTTTTAATCAATTTCCCTTTAGGGGAAAAAAAATCTTTCATCCCCAAATTGGGGTAATTATGGATCTGTGGGACTTTTACTTTACTTTAAAGGAGGCCCTGGAACTGGCCTCAGGCTAGCAAGAAATGTCGTAAAAATGAAAATGCTGCTGTGAGCCCAGGAAGATAATGGTTTAAAGAGGAATGAATCTGCTATACGGTAGCAAAGGTATATAGCTTTCAAAAAAGCAAAATGGGGAAAATGTGAGAGCCTTAGAGAGAGAAGGAGAAGGTCAGTGGAAAGGATGGCATGGCTGTCTAAAGATGTGGAGAGTCATCAGAAGTCTGGGAAAATGTGCACTAGGGCCAAATGAACCTGAATACTGGAAGGATTCTCATAAGATGCAGGATAGTGTGGAAGTAAGGGCACTGGAATCGGAAACCTGTAGATTCAACTCCTAACCCTGCCCCCTACCTCAGTCTCCTCACTTGTAAAACAAGAGTGATAATAACTGCACACAGATTTGTCATGGAGACAACTATTTTAGTGCAAGCAAAGGTCCTAGTGCATTGTAGGTGGTCAATAAATGGCACCTTTAATTAGCTTCAAGTAGTTACAGTAATGTGATAGGAAGGGAAAGTTCCAAGGAGAAACTTTAAACCTGCACAGTCTTAGCCCTTCTCCAAGTCCCTGGATTCTGACCTTGACTTCATCTGTGGATGTTTGCCACCTATGCACTGTCTTTCTAACTGACTCCAGATTACAAATTATTTAACCTGCTGAACTATCTTCCACCTACACTGACTCTTAGCAATCTGTTCTAGTTCTTGCTGTCCTGTCCTACTAATATTTGATGTTAACTACGTGGGCTTCAGAGAAGTTGTTGAAATATTTTAAAAGGTACATAACTCTTTGCATGCTTTGAGAACCTCAGGCTTTTCAAACTCCTTCCTTTTTAGAAATGATATATTAAGGACTGGCATATGGATGGTTTTCACAAAGTATGACTGAAAATGGGATTGAAATCAGGTTGTGCTATGTTCACAGAATTTTAAAACTTTGGACAAGTTCAGAACATCATTGTTAATAGATCATCAAGACGTGATGGGCTTATAACCACGACATTCTAATTAGAGAGATTGTGGGGGAGAAATTAGCATTTCAAATGACTTAAAGCTGGTTGAGAGAATATTTTAGAGACTAGAAAGCATTTTTTGAATTTATCTTAAATAGATATTACTTTCTGTATTTTGCTAAGATAATGGCATTATCATAAAGAACATGGGAAAGATGTGGCAAGGCTACTTTATATATCTATAATGAAACCCTAATACACATTTTGTTTGATAAATGGGAATATAAGATAATAGTGATGCTGTGTACAGATGTGCCCCAGCTTACATGGGGTTATGTTCCATTAAACCCATCATAAGTTGAAAATATCCTAAGTTGAAAATGCATTTAATACATCTAACCTACCAAACATCATAGCTTAGCCTAGCCCACTTTAAATGTGCTCTGAACACTTACATTAGCCAACAGCTGGGCAAAATCATCTGACAATCCAGTAGTACACTGTAGAGTATTGGTTGTTTACCCTTGTGATTGTGTGACAGACTGGGAGCTGAGGCTCTCTGCCGCTGCCCTGCCTCCCAAGAGAGTATCCTACAGCATATTGCTAGGGGAACAGATCAAAATTCAAAATTGGAAGTACGGTTTCTATTGAATGCTTATCACTTTTGCACCACTTTATGAGTCAACAACTCATAAGTCAAACCCTCACAAGTTGGGGACTGTGTAATTAAGTGCATACAAAATTATATATATGTAACTTTAAGGAATCTGTACTTTCAAGGAGCTCCTTTTCTTCTGTGTGTGCAGAACAGTCTGACAGTGAGCAAATGTGGGAAATGACACTCTGTCCAGGTTTTCGTGAAGTCAATTTATTGAGGTGCAATTTACGTGAAGTAAAATTCACTATTTTTTTTTGTTTACAGTTGTAAGTTTCGACGATAATGTAACTACCACCACAATCAAGATAGAGAATAATTCCACTACCCAAAACTTTACTTATACACCTTTGTGTTCAGCCCTTGTCCCTAATCCCAGACCTTTACAAGCCCTTAATTTGTTTTCTGCCATGATGGTTTTGCCTTTTCCAGAATGTTATATAAGCCTTTTTAGTCTGTGTTCTTTTTCTTGGCATACTGCATTTGAGATTCATATTATAGTACTTGTGTATCTCATTGCCACTGAATTACAGCATTCAGCAGTATGGATATATCCCAGCTTGTTTAATTAGTCGAAGGACATTTGAATTATTTTCCAGTTTTGGCAATTGTGAATAAAACCTCTATAAATAATCACGTATAAACTTTTGTGTGAACGTAAGTTTTCATTTCTCTGGTGTGGCATTGCTGTGTGGTAAGTCTGTTTTAACATTATAAGAAACTGTCAAACTGTTTTGAAGTGTCTGCACCATTTTTGCACCCCATCAGCAATGTGCCAAAGTTGACCTTCTAATAGGTGTGTAGTAGTGTCTCACTGTGATTTTATTTTTATTTCCCTAATGACAGATTATGCTGAGCATCTTTTTATATGCTCATATCTTTTCTGGATGATCCATCTCCATATCTTTTCTGGATGAAATGTTTAAATTTTGGCTATTTTTTACTTGGGTTGCTTATTATTATTGAGTTCGCCAATAGATAGGTAGGTAGATCAGATAGATAGATAGATAGATAGATAGATAGATAGATAAATAGATAGATGATAGATAAATAGATGATAGATGGATAGATGATAGATAGATAGATAGATAGATAGATAGATAGATAGATAGATAGATAGATGATAGATAGAGATGATAGATAGAGATAGACAGGAGATGGTGAAGGGGCCTGGTGACCTTACAGCTCCCAGTTTACACCCCTACTGAAGGGTGGGACACTCATGCTCTTGGCTTCCATTAGACACCACCATGTCCTTCTAAGACAACCCCCATTTTATTTTACATAAACCCACACCCGTTTTTTGTTACCTGCAACCATTTAGTCCTAACTCTTGAACAGGAAGAGGGCCCACCAATCCAGACATTGGCAGGCTACAAGAGCAGCCTAGGCAGAGCATTGAGGCTACAATGGATATTAATGGTTCTACTGTACTGCGGCTGAGTTGGCACTGAAACCACAAGACACAGTCCTCCCCTCTTTTCCCTTCCCCTTTCCAAAGAGGCACTTCAACCTGTGGCTGCTGTCATAGGCCCACAGGGAGTACTGCCAGACTACCACCAATGTTCCCTTAAGGCCCAAGGGCTCTTCAGTCAGCCTTTGGTGAATGATGCCTGGCCTGGTACTGACCCTTCAGTGCAATGGGCTCCTGTCTGGTGCAGAGCAGGACCAGAAATGCCGTATAAGAGACAAGTGCTGGAATCAGGGACCTCAAGAGGCTGCTTGTTGCTCTCCTCCATTGTGGCTGAGCTGGTACTTATAGAGAGCAAGCCTCATAGGCTCACCCAAGGCCCTCAATATAGTACCTGGGTATTGCTGCCGGTTATTCAAGGCGCAAGTGCTCTGCAGATAGCAGGTGATAACTGTTGCCAGGACTGGGTCCTTTCCTTCGAGGCAGCAGGTTCCCTTCTGACCCAAGATGCATCCAGAAATGTCACTCGGGAGCTAGGGCCTGGAACGGCAGCCTCACAACTCTGACCCATACCCTATCCTGCTGTGACTGAGCTGGTATCCTAAATGGAAGACAAAGTCCTCACCACTCTTCCCTCTCCTCCCCTCAAGCAAAGGAAGGGGTTTCTTTTGGAGCTGTGAGCTGTGCAGCCTGGAATTAGGGGAGGGGTGATGCCAGCACTCCCTTAGCCACCGCAGCTGGTGTCTCAGAAAGTTGTGTGCTCCCCAGTCCACTGACTCTGGGCCAAGTTCAGCACTAGTAGCAGCTCATCTAAAAGTTGCAGTCCTTGTGGCCTAGACTGTCTTTCAAGTTTAGTTAGAGTCCTATAGCACTTTAGCCTGCAGCAGTGAGGCTTGTGGGAACTCAAGTTCCAACAACCCGGATGGGTAATTCCCCTCTGGCTAGGGCTGGTTTAAATGCTCTATCTGTGGGTGGGCATCAGCTGAGTTTGGTCCAGTTTTGCTGTCTGCTATAACAGGGCAGCACTGAGTTCAAGGCCTCACAGTTCCTGTGCACTCTCTCTCTCTCCCCAGTGCACAGAAACACTCTCCACACTATGTCACCAATGCTGGGGGTTGATGGTGGGGTTGTGTTGGCAATTCAAGATTGCTTTTTCCTACTTCTTCAGTGCCTCTTTCAGTGATATGGAGTTAAAATGAGGTACTGACTTTTGGTTCTTATAAAAGTGCTTCTTTTGTGTCGATAGTTGTTAAATTGGTGTCCTTGCGGGGGGTAGGTGGAGAGGGTGGTGATTGGTGGAGCCTTCTATTCTGCCATCTTACCCCACCTCCTACAGGTCCTTTTACCAGGATAATTTCTTGAAAAGACAAAATTTCTTCATTGAATTGCCTTTGCACCTTCATCAAAAACCCATTGACCATATACATGTGGGTATATACAGAGAATCTTAATTTTTTTTCTGTCAACCTCTGTGTCTATCTTTTCACTGACACCATACTGTCTTAATTACTATAGCTTCCTAGCAAGTTTTGAATTGAACTACTATGTGTTTGTAAAAGGACAAGTCACCAGTGGCCTTGGCCAATGCAGTTCTTCTCCCTCTTGCTTGCGTTTCTTGGGAAGAATATACAGATAATGCAAAATCCTGAGATAAAGAGGAAATGTCTGTAACAATCAAGGTTTTGTCCTTGTTCTATCCAGAATGGGATGTTCTACAATGCTTGTACTTAGCAACCCAAATGGTACCCATGATATAAAACTCAGAGGAGAGTACTTTTGAAGTCCATCAGTTGCAATATGATGACAATGCAGACAAAACAGGCAGCGTTCCTGAACCTTAGAGGCTGGCTCACCATGGATCCTAGGATTCTGTTTACCTTTGTTGCCTATCTGAGTAATAAAGTTGCTTTGCCTGACTTGTGGTACAAGTGTTCTGTCTCACTGGACCAGACTCAAGAACCTTTGCAGAGTCCTCCAATAGTGCTCTTCTTTTACAAAACCGATTGATTATTCTATTTCCCTTACCTTTCAACATAAATTTTAAAATCAAGTTGTTGATTTAAATAAAAAGTACCCTACTGGATTTTGATTTGAATTTTATTGAATCTATAGATCAATTTTGGGAGAACTAATATCCTAATCATATTGAACCTGCCCATCCACAAACAGAGCCCATTTATTTATGTCTTCTTTGATTTCTTTCATCATGGTTTATGGTTTGCAGTATATAGATCTTGTGTATTTCATTAGATTTACACATAAGTATTTCATGTTTTCCGTGCCATTCTTAATCATGCTGTGTTATTAATTTTAATTTTAAACTGATGATTGACAGAATAACAATAAAACTTTATATTAAGGGGCAGGCCTAAAAAAAACTTTATATTAACGTTGAACCTTATAATCTTGCTGACACTAAATAGTTCTGGTAGATTTTATGTAGATTCTTTGGAATTTTCTATTTAGATAATCATATTGGCTGTGAAAATATGTAGTTGTATTTTCCTTTATCCAAATGGTATGCCTTTTATTTTATTTCTTTCTAACACCTCCAGTATAATGCTGAATAAGAACAGCAAGATTGAACATTATTGATTTTTTTCCTTATCTTGGGGCAAAGCATTCAGTCTTTCACCATTGAACATGATATCAATACAGATTTTCCTAAATGCCTTTATCGAGTTAAGAAAACTCCTTTCCATTTTTAGTTTACCATAACTTTTCATTATGAAGAATGCTGAATTATGTTAAATAATTTTCCTGTTTATACTGAGATTATCATAGGGTTTTTCTTCTTTAGCCTAATGATATGGTGATTACTTTGATTGATTGATCTTCAAATGATGAACAAGGCTTTTATTACCAAGATAAGCCTCACTTTGTCAGGATATATTATCCATCATATAAATTGCTAAATTTAATTTGCTAATACTTTGTTGAGGATGTTTGCCTCTATGTTAATTCTAGTTTTGAAATTAGGGTTTTGGAATCTCTTTTTCTCATAAAATGAATTGCAAAGTGCTTCTATTTTCTGAAAAAAATCAGTAGAATTGTTAGTATTGATTCCTTATATTTGGTCAAATTTGCAAATAAAACCATTTAGGCCTGATTTTTCATTAGGAATTATGAAAAATCCTGATGCAGATTTTTCATTAGGAATGTAGTTTCTCCCAAAGCTATAGAATTTTCAGGTTATCTATTTTTCTTAAGTGAATGTTGGTAGTTTGTGTCTTTCAAGGAGTTTTCTCATTTCCTTTGAGTTGTAGAATTTATAGATATGATTCTTTAGTATTCCCTTATCAGTCTAATGTCTGTTATATCTGTAATAATATTCCCTCTGTCATTTCTGACACTTTGTGCCTTCTCTCTTTTTAGTCATCCTGAGCAGTAACATTGATCTTTACAAAGAATTAGCTTTGTTTCGTTGATTTACTTTATTTTGTTTCTGTTTTTAATTTCATTGATTACTTGCTCTTATCTACATTATTGTTTTCCTCTGCTTACTTTGGGTTTAATTTGTTTTTCTTTTTCCAGTTTCTTAACATGAAAGATTAGTTTATTGATTTTAGACCTTTGTTCTTTTCTAATACATGTATTTAATGTTACAACTTATCCCTCAAACACTGCTTTACCTGCATCCCCATATTTTGATATATTATTTTCATATTCATTTCATTAAAAATATTTTCTAGTATTCTTGTGACTTCTTATTTGTCCCTTGAATTATGTAGAAGTATGTTGTTTCATTTCAAAATATTTGGGGGTTTTCCAAACTTTTTTTGTTAGACCACTTGATATTATTTCACATCTCTAGGGTAATCTGTACTGTTTTTTTTTTCTTCACTCTTTTTTTCTCTTTTTTTTGTTTAACAGAATAATTTTCATTGACCTATCCTCACATTCACTGATTCTTTCCTCATGCTTGTCAACTCTTCTGATAAGGCCATCAAAACGATACTTCATCTTGATGACTGTTTCTGTCTGATAATACCAACATTTGGTCATCTCTGAGTCTATTGATTGCCTTGCTCTTTACTATGGATTATTTTTCTTCCTTTTCTGTACATCTCATACTTTGTTTATTATTGAAAGGTATAATGTTTAAAACAGTATAGATTAACATAAACAATATTCATGCAAAGAAATGGGTACACATCTTCTCCTGAGCCATGAGGTAGGGAGGAGCATTGACTCAATCTAGTCAGTCCAGCTGTGCTTGAGGTTTCTGTTGCAAATTTTTCTGGTTACTTGGTGCTTAAGGTGAGTATTGTTTTGACAAAGGGTTTTTCTCAGTGTTCCTATTTCACCCTTAGCTTTGTCCTTCCTTGTGTGTCAATGTCCCAGAAAGAGCCTCTCTTCATGCCCTTGTCCCTTCTTCCATGGTAGATTGCTGTTGCTTTCTACCTGGTGCTGCCTAGCCTACTGGGAGAATGAGTGAGATTCTCTTTTGTTGGTGATCAGCCTCAATCCTAGGTAGGTCTTCTGTTCGTGTTATTTTGTAGGGTTAGGGAAAGGCCTTCTCAGTGATCCTGTCCTCTTCTCCACAGCATTAGAAAATCTCTAATGGTCTGGGCCCAGGACAGTTTCCTGTCTCTCCCCAGGACGGTTTTCTGCCCTTCCTCAAGAAGTTCACAGCTTATTATTTTTCCATTTTCCCAACCACAGGGATCTTCATATGTGTCTTGAAGTCACAGAGTTTGCTGCCCTTCTGCCAGTAGCATAACACTTTAGTGTTCTTAGAAGAAGGGCATGAGGGAGCTTTATGTCTTTCCCTTTGAGGCAGCTACCCTCCCCCTCCAGGCCTGCATTAGTGAGGTCTGGTCTCCTGCCCTGACCCATCTTTCTCATGAGTGCCCAGTGGAGGTCCAAAACAAAGAGGTACTAGGTAGGAACAAATTCCCTTTATGTGCAAAGTCTCTTTACGTCTGTGCTCCCGGAAATTCTATACTCTCATACTAGCCCACATTCAGCCTTTAGAAATTCATTTTTAAAATTTAGCCAAATTCTTCTTACCTGTTTATATGGCAGTTCATCCTCTTCCCCTGCTCCCTTTTCAAAAGTGAGTCAGTATTTGTGTTCTTTCTGCTCTGCCTTTCATTAGATTTTAAGCTAGATGGTTGGCCTGTGACCTCAATTTCTAATAAGTTAAATGAAAGTTATTTTGCAGATTATCCGGATTTTTCTTTTTTATGACGGGATTGATGATGCCTCTTGCAGCTAAGTCCTCCAGGGTTTATTTTAAAGGGAACAAAATTATGTTAGGAAGACAAGGTCCTTAGACCAGGAAATATAATTCTAACTTAAAGAAAGCAATAAGTTAGTTGGTTCAATAAACTAACTGATTTGGCATTAATAGTCTATGACTAATGCTAAATAACTGTATTCTATTCGTCTTTGATTGAGAAGATGATGGTGTTAAATGAAACTATGAGAGATTTTGCTCAGTCTGTAAAATTGGGGCTGGAAGCTGATTTGTAAGTGAAAAGAGTATATTTAACTAAATTAATGAAAAATATAATGGTAAGTGCTAAATCAGGGGTTCTTATATCTTTTTTTCTTTGTACAAGGAAGCCTTTTATGATCTATGGACTATTTCTCAAAACAGTGTTTTTAAATGCATGAATTCAAATATAAAAATTATAAAGAAAACCAATCATATTAAATTACAGTTTCCTAAGTATTTTTATTATGATATATAAATATACATCCTTCCTATTATACGACATTAAATAGCAATATCTAGTGTGGGCCTAATTGCTATAATTTCAAAGTAGTGGTAAGAGTAAGTGGCACTTTGTGATACCTGCAAAAATTGTAGCATGATATGAAATACTGTGATTTCCATTGTTAAAAATCTTGGATATCACTAATACTGCTGAGCTTTATTGCCTACATTCAAATTAGAGAAAATGCTGAACTTCAGTTAGATGTTAGTGAAAAATAAAGATGTAATCTTTTTCCCACCTAAGTTCACAGACTCCTCTAAATTCTATATCGAGATCTCCCAAGGGGACCCCTGGCTAAGAACCTCTGTGCTAAAAACAGAGAACCATCAACTGCAATCAGAGATAGAGGTAGGAAAGACAGAGAAGGCATCAGGGGAATTCCATGTGGAGGTCCTAGCATCTGAAAAATTGTGTAACTGAGGATGAGTATAGTACAATCCGGAACTAAAAGTAATTTGGTGTTTGTTTGTTTGTTTTTGAGATGGAGTCTCACTCTGTCACCCAGGCTGGAGTGCAGTGGCGCAATCTCAGCTCACTGCAAGCTCTGCCTCCCAGGTTCATGCCATTCTCCTGCCTCAGCCTCCAGAGTAGCTGGAACTACAGGTGTCCACCACCACGCCTGGCTAATTTTTTTTGTATTTTTAGTAGAGACGGGGTTTCACCGTGTTAGCCAGGATGGTCTCGATCCCCTGACCTTGTGATCTGCCCATCTCGGCCTCCCAAAGTGCTGGGATTACAGGCAGTAATTTGATATTTTTAAACACTACTACTACTAGTTACTATTTTAAGGGTATTTTATAATAAATATCAAGTACTGTATTAAGTATATTACAAATATTTTTCATATAATTAATTTCATGATTTGGCTCTCTGCTTGCCTATTTTTGGTGTAAAGGAGTGCTTGTGATTTTTGCCCATTGATTTTGGGTCTTGAGACTTTGCTGAAGTTGTTTATCAGTACTGTATTAAGTATATTATAAATATTTTTCATGCAATTAACTTATCACAACATCTCTTTGAGGCAACATATTTGATACCCATTTTAGAGATGAAAAACTTGGGATCTAGGGAGCATGATTCCTCCAGCTTTTAGAATTGTCTTGGCTATAGAGGGTCTTCTTTGATTCCATACGAAATTCAAAATAGTTTTTTCTAATTCTGTGAAGAATGTCAATGGTAGTTTGATGGGAATAGCACTGAATCTATAAATTACTTTGGGCAGTATGGTCATTTTCACGATATTGATTCTTCCTATCCATGAGAATTGAATGCTTTTCCATTTGTTTGTATCCTCCCTTATTTCCTTGAGTAGTGGCTTGTAGTTCTCCTTGAAGAGGTCCTTTGCATCCCTTGTTAACTGTATTCCTAGGTATTTTATTCTCTTTGTAGTAATTGTGAATAGGAGTTCATTCATGATTTGGCTCTCTGCTTGCCTTTTGTTGGTGAAAAGGAATACTTATGATTTTTATACATTGATTTTTGTATCCTGAGACTTTGCTGAAGTTGCTTATCAGTTCAAGAAGTTTTGGGGCTGAGATGATGGGGTTTTCTAAATATAAGATCATGTCATCTGCAAAGAGAGACAATTTGACTTCCTCTCTTCCTATGTGAATACGCTTTATTTCTTTCTCTTGCCTGATTGCCCTAGCCAGAAGTTCCAAAACTATGTAGAATAGAAGTGATGAGAGAGGGCATCCTTGAAGGGAATGCTTACAGCTTTTGCCCATTCAGTATTGGCTGTGGGTTTGTCATAAATCGCTCTTATGATTTTGAGATGTGTTCCATCAATACCTAGTTTGTTGAGAGGTTTTTCTTGACATGAAGAGATGTTGAATTTTACAAGGCTATAGTAACCAAAACAGCATGGTACTGCTACCAAAACAGATATATAGACCAATGGAGCAGAACAGAGGCCTCAGAAATAATACCACACATCTACAACCATCTGATCTTCCTCAAACCTGACAAAAACAAGCAATGGGGAAAGGATCTCCTATTCAGTAAATGGTGCTGGGAAAACTGGCTAGCCATATGCAGAAAACTGAAACTGGACCCTTTCCTTACACCTTATACAAAAATTCACTCAAGATGGATTAAAGACTTAAATGTAAAACCTCAAACCATAAAAACCCTAGAAGAAAACCTAGGCAATACCCTTCAAGACACAGGCATGATCCAAGACTTCATGACTAAAACACCAAAAGCAATGGCAAAAAAAGTGAAAATTGACAAATGGGATCTAATTAAACTAAAGAGTTTTTGCACAGCAAAAGAAACTATCATCAGAGTGAACAAGCAACCTACAGAATGGGAGAAAATTTTTGCAATCTACCCATCTGACAAAGGTTTAATATCCAGCATTTACAAGGAACTTAAACATATTTACAAGAAAAAACAAACAATCCTATCAAAAAATAGGCAAAGGATATGAACAGACACTTCTCGAAAGAAGATATTTACGTGGCAAACAAACATATGAAGAAAAAAAAGCTCATTATCACTGGTCATTAGAGAAATGCAAATCAAAACCACAATGAGATACTATCTCACACCAGTCAGAATGGTGATTATTAAAAAGTCAGGAAACAATAGGTGCTGGCAAGGCTGTAGAGAAATAGGAATGCTTTTACACTGTTGGTGGGAATATAGATTAGTTCAATCATTGTGGAAGACAGTATAGCGATTCCTCAAGGATCTAGAACCAGAAATACCATTTGACCCAGCAATCCCATTACTGGGTATATATCCAAAGGAAAATAAATCATTCTACTATAAAGACACATGCACACATATATTTATTGCAGCACTATTTACAATAGCAATGACACGGAACCAAGTCAAATGTCCATCAGTGATAGATTGGATAAAGAAAATATGGTATATATACACCATGGAATACTATGCATCCATAAAAAAGGAACGAGATGTCTTTTTCAGGGACATAGATGAAGCTGGAAGCCATCATCCTCAGCAAACTAACACAGGAACAGAGGGCCAAACACCGAATGTTCTCACTCATAAGTGGGAGTTGAACATTGAGAACACATGGACATGGAGAGGGGAACAACACACACCAGAGCCTGTTGGGGGTTGGGGTGGTGAGGGGAGGGCACATAGAAGATGGGTCAATAGGTGCAGCAAACCACCATGGCACACATATACCTATGTAACAAACCTGCACATTCTGCATGTGTATCCCATTTTTTTTTTAGAAGAAATAAAAAAAAAATAGTTGGGATCCAAAGATTTTAAACAACTTTCCTGAGATCCGGTAGCTTGAATGTGGCAGAGCATGTATTTAACACAGCTCTGTTTCATTCAAAGCTCCTGAGGGGCTTTGGATGTGTTTTTCTCTGGGTGGAAGGCAGGCATCTCACTCTGGAAATGCTCAGTGATAAAGAGACTTCAATGCCAGGCTGAGGGTTGTAGATTGGATCCTGAAAGCCACTGTGGGGTCTACTTTCCAACTTCATCTCCTGCTTCTTTGTACATACCTTCACCACTTTGTATCATTGTCATTACCAAACATAACTTGATTTTCCTATGTTCATGCTTTGCATGTTTTTCCCTCTGCCGGGTATGCCTTCCTTCCAAGTATGCCTCCTTCTCCTGGCTAACTGGAACTCATGTTTCAAGACATCATGGGAACTTCCTCTCTAGTTTACAAATGTAGATTGCTGCTCCTTGCTTAGGAAAGCTGGAATCTTGAGCTTTCTAGAGGTAGGTAGAAAAGAAAGCAGGACAGGCCAGGCGCGGTGGCTCACGCCTGTAATCCCAGCACTTTGGGAGGCCGAGATGGGCAGATCACGAGGTCAGGAGATCAAGACCATCCTGGCTAACACAGTGAAACCCTGTCTCTACTAAAAATACAAAAAAATTAGCCAGGCATAGTGGTGGGCGCCTGTAGTCCCAGCTACTCGGGAGGCTAAGGCAGGAGAATGGCATGAACCCAGAAGTTGAAGCTTGCAGTGAGCCGAGATCGTGCCACTGCCTGGGCGACAGAGCAAGACTCTGTCTAAAAAAAAAAAAAAAAAAAAAGGGAAAGCAGGACAAGGGTAGTCCTAACAAGAAAAGGTAATGAAATACGGAGTACAAGCACCCAAGGGTTAAATATTTTCAAAGCTGCCTTCTGGAGGCAGAAAGAAATGTAGAGTCACATGAGCAAGGGAGAAAAAAAATAGATGGTTTATTGTCTATACAACAAAACCGTTGAGCTTATAGGGACAATAAAAGTACCAAGAACAGACTGAGATGGCTGCTGCTTTCTTGAACAATATTGTCTGGGGCTCAGCCCTTATAGAACATTTTTATAATGTTTGCTTACATTGCCTTTTGCACCTCCAGTCCTACACTGTTAAATCTAGAATAATAAATGTTTTGTTTTAAAAACCCTTTCTCCAGATACTTTTATAACTTTGAAACTTATAAAACAAGTCAGTATTGTTATTTATGCTTCTTAGAAAACCCTTGTTTTGAAAATTTATACATTCAATGAGTAAAAAGGCACAAGGCTCAATGGAATATATAATGATGAGTTCTACATCAGCAGAACCCCCCAGATTTTACACAGAGGTTGCAAATTTGCTTCTCACAGTCATCTTTTGTTTGCTCCAGATTTTTAAGAATACTAAAACTTCAGATTTTACATAATCATCTGGATTTCTGGCTTCACTTGAAAAAGTGATTGGCACCACTGGGCTTGCAGTACCAAATGGAAAATGCTCTAGCTGAATGCGCTGCCTTTTATAAACTAGACACAGGCATTCCAGTGTGCCATAGATGCCACTATTCTGCCAACCCCAGAGTCTCAAAACACAGAGCCATTCTTGACTGTGCTCTATCACTCTTCATGTTCATTCAGCAAGTCAGGTTCTCTACAATATTCTTTGCTTCAATTACCTCTTCTTAATTCTAACTTCAAGAATGATTTCAAGACTTTATTACCTCCTGATGACAATTATGACAATAACAGTTAACATATGTCGAGCAACACTCACTGTGTTAAGCATTTTACATGGACCATCTCTTTTAATCCTCAAAACAGCCCTTAGAGATGAATTCCATCATAATCCTCATTATATAGTAGAGAATTGTGTGACCCTAAAAGCTTAACACATCTGCCCAAAATCTCAAATCCTGAAAGTGTTGGAATCTCACTCTGGACACTGAATTTTTGACTGTACAAATCGCAGTCTAGGGAGTTTCAAGCTTAGGCACAGGGAGCTTTGGCTCTGGTGCTCTGAAGCCTTTCCAAAGGGGTAGGAAGGAACAGGATGCCTTAAGGGCATCATTTCCCCTTCCAGATGCTCAATGTCCATAAATACTTTTTCATGCACCAAATTCACCTGCTAACTCAACTGAGGTCTCAGAGCCCCTCTCAGTATGACCCTTCTCTCCCTGCTTATCTCTCACCCATCCTGAATCTTACTAGAGTGCATTGGCCAGTGTGTGAAACACTCTAGGCAGTAGATTAAAAAAAAATTTAAGTATTGGTGTAGGTTTTAGAAAAAGTAAATAGCTTTATCAGTTGGGTAACAAATGCTTTGGAGTTCCAATTGAGTTTCAAGTTCCACTTCAACCTGGGATGCAGCAAGCTGGAGTGCCACTGTGAACCTAACAGCACCCTAATAATTTGGTTTGTTTCTTTGTTTTGTTTATGGTTTCTGTTTTGCTATTATTGAGAGGTGAAGCCAGCTGGGCTTCTGGGTCGGGTGGGGACTTGGAGAACTTTTCTGTCTAGCTAAAGGATTGTAAATGCACCAATCAGCACTCTGTGTCTAGCTAAAGGTTTGTAAACACACCAATCAGCACTCTGTAAAAACACACCAATCAGCGCTCTGTGTGTAACTAAAGGTTTGCAAACACACCAATCAACACTCTGTAAAAACAGACCAATCAGCTCTCTGTAAAACGGACCAATCAGAAGTCTGTAAAATGGGCCAATCAGTGCTCTGTAAAATGGACCAATCAGTAGGATGTGGGCAGAGCCAAATAAGGGAATAAAGGCTGGCCAGCAAAGCCAGCAGTGGCAATCTTTTCGGATTCTCTTCCATGCTGTGGCAGGTTTGTTCTTTTGCTCTTTGCAATAAATCTTGCTGCTGCTTACTCTTTGGGTCCACACTACCTTTATGAGCTGTAACACTCACCGCAAACGTTTGCAGCTTCACTCCTGAAGCCAGCGAGACCACGAGACCACGAACCCACCAGGAGGAACAAACAACTCCGGACGTGCCACCTTAACGAGCTGTAACAAGGTCTGCGGCTTCACTCCTAAAGTCAGCGAGACCACGAACCCACCGCAAGGAAGAAACTCCGGACACATCTGAACATCTGAAGGAAGAAACCCCAGACACACCATCTTTAAGAACTGTAACACTCAACCGCGAGGGTCCACGGCTTCATTCTTGAAGTAAGCGAGACCAAGAACCCACTGGAAGGAACCAAATCTGGACACATTCTATTATATATAATATATGTAATATTGTATATATATTATTATACATTATGCTAGCTATTATATTATTACCTTCAATGTACCACAGACTTCAAATTCTTTGTTGCCTTGTGCTTAGGGTGGGGGCTGAGTTGCAAGAGGGTTTTTCCTCAGTGTTCCTGCTTCCTGATGTGCTCTCAGCCATCTCTGTTAGCCAGTATTACCAGGCTGCCCCTCCACCAGCTGCAGCTTGCCGTTTTTACTGTTGTTTCTTGGGGTAGGGCAGCAGTGAGACTCTGTTTTCCGGGTCCAGCCTTTGTCTTTGGCAAGTACCTGGAACTTAGAGAGAGTCTTTCCAGAGTTCTTGCTCCTCCTTCTTGTGGCAACCGCACTCTGCCTTGTATCCATGGTTGGTCTTGGGTGGGAGTTGCCTGCCCTACTTATGATGGTAGCAGATTTCTGCTTGATATCAGCATATATCCTGGGTCCAAGACAGCTTCCTGCCCCTTCCCTAGGGATAGAGGTCTTATTCTTCCACCTCCTCCCTTTGCAGTGTAGATTTTTTCTCACTTCCTGGGGAAGGAGAACAGTACTTGCCCTTCCTCCATTGATGTAAGGCTGTTGCTTAAGGCCAGGGCTTTATGCCCATCCCCTAGCTGCTGCCAATTACTTCCTTCATGCCTGCACCAAATAGGAGTACCCTCTCAATCTCCTGGTCTTCTCTGAGTCTTTCTCATAAATAGCAGTGGAGGATCATAGGGAAGAGCTCATGGGTGATTGTGACATCCTCTTTTCTGGTGATCCCAGCTATTCCAAATTAGCACACTAGCTCACATTTGGCGTTTAACAATTCATTTTTATTCTTGCAGGATTCTTCTTTCCTTTTTATATGCTCTCTCCTCTTTTTCCTGTGCTCTACCAAAGATGAAATCGTTTGTGTATTTTATCTCTCCCTGAAAGGGCTTGTTCCTCTTTAGAATTCCGGCCATTTGGTCTTCTTGCTACTTGAGCTTTATGATGTATTTGAGAAAGTTACACTTTTGTATATTACCTGGATTTTTTTTCTCATTGTTAGGGTGGAAGCAGTGTTTTTGAAGTTTATTACAGTTTATGTAGAAACAGAAATCTTTATTGACCTTTTAAAATAGAACTCTATGGGATGCATATTTTACATATAATATAATTCATCCATTTCAAATGTACAATTGAAGCTTCTTACAAACTGCACGCATTTACCAACCAGCCCTAGAATCCCTGCCTTAGTAAAACATTGTAACTGAAAGGAGTGTCAGAACCCTCAAGTACATATTTGAACATGGGAAATGGTTGGTAAATATTAGCCCAAAGGCAGAAAGTCTATTCTGGAGGCTATTTTGTGAGTCAAAAAAGGCAATTGGATTCATCACCCCACCTGGCCTTGGACTCCTATGATCATTTCCTCCTACTACCTGTTACCCCCGCCTCCAGTCTTCTTCCAGCTCAACCTACTTTATATTTCATAGGGGTGTATTACCATCTTCATAAGTTAGAAAATTTTCATCATCTCAAGATGTTTTTTACCTAGTTGCCCAGGCAACCACTGATGGGCTTTCTGTCTCTATAGCTTTGCCTTTTCTGGCAATTTCAATCAAGTGGAGTCACAACATGTGGTCTCTTGTGTCTGGTTTCTTTCACTGAGCATAATAGTTGTGAGGTCCTTCCATATGCTAACATGTACTAGTAGTTCATTCCTTTTCATTGCTGAATATTACTTCATTGTGTTCATATGCCACATTGTGTCTATCCATTCACCAGTTAAAATACATTAGATTTTCTCTAATTTTTTGCTACTAAGAATAATGCTTCTAAGAACATGTATGTGCAAGTCTTTGTGTGGTTCATTAGTATTACCATGCCCTAAGATTAAGGTCCATGGAAAACTAAAATGACCCAATCAAGGCAGGATTAATGGTCCAGACCCTTCAAAAGTAAAGGTTTGGGTCACCCCACCAGTTAAAAAAAAAAAAACATGACAAGCTGAGGTGCTTGCTGAAGGCGAAAGGAATATGGAATGGTAGTGGAGGATAAATATCAGTTATAACCATGTGACCAGTTACATAAACAAGGACTGTAATTGTCATGAGTATTTCCTTATTATTTTTGTATAAAAATATATTTGTATTGTGTGTATAAAAAAGCAAATATTTTTTTGTTTCCTCTTATCCCCTTATCATATAACATAAGATGTATTGACTTCGTATCATAGTATTTAAGTACTGTTCACTTTATATTATATCATTTTGACTATGGTATACAAATTATAAGATATCAAGTATTTAAGTTATAGACTATCAAGAAGAGTAAACATCACTCAAGGACTTTATCTCCTTTTCTGGAGAAGAAGTTAGTAAGTTTTTAGTTGTATGCGGGATAGTTGTATCATATATTAGGTGGAATTACAACCTTGTCATTGTCTTCATTTGGAGATTAAGTATGACTTAAGGAGATGCATATGGGTGCTAACTTGACAAGTGTAGACACGATGATTAATTTTATGTATCAACTTGACTGGGTCATGAGGTATACATATTTGATAATCATTACTCTGGGTGTTTCTATAAGAGTGTTTTTTGGTAGATTAACGTTTAAATTAGTAGACTGACTAAAGCAAATTGTCCTCCCCAATGTAGGTGAGCCTCATCCAATTTGTGAAAGCCTGAATAGAACAAAAGTCTGACCCTCCGCTGAGTAAGAGAGAATTCTTCCTGCCTGAATGCCTTCACACTGAGATATGGGTTTTTGTCCTGTTTTCAGAGTAGAACCAAAACATTGGCTCTTCCTGGACCTTCAACCTACCAGCTTTTGAACTGAACCTACACCATTGGCTCTCCTGGTTCTCATGCCTTCAAATTCAGACTGGTGAGTAGCCCCCATCTTAAGGTCATCTCGGGGCCCCTCCCTGAATCACTTCACTAGCACAAACTCAGATGTGCTCAAAAAGGGCTCATTATAAATAGGCAAAGATACTCCTATCATTAGGAGATTCTAAGGGTTTTTGGAGCTCTGTCTCAGGAACCAGGGCAAAGACTCAATATATGTCTTATATACCACAGGGAATATTAACAAAACTAAAATCTAGTTCTTAAAAAAACGTTAAGTCGGCCGGCAACAGTGGCTCATGCCTGTAATCCCAGAACTTTGGGAGGCCAAGGCAGGTGGATCACGAGGTCAGGAGTTCAAGACGAGACTGGGCAAGATGGTGAAACCTCGTCTCTACTAAAATTACAAAACTTAGCCATGCACAGTGGCAGGCACCTGTAATCTTAGCTACTTAGAAGGCTGAGGCAGGAGAATCGCTTAAACCCAGGGGGAAGAGGTTGCAGTGAACCCAGATCATGCCACTGTACTCCAGCCTGGGTGACAGAGTGAGATTCTGTCTCAAAAAAAAAAAAAATAAAATAAAATAAGTCTCCCAAATACTGATTGAGAGAAAGAGACAAAATACAGAATCAGAATAAATAACCATATATAATCCAGAAGCTGAAAGAGAGAATATTAAGAAATTTATTAAACAGCAAATGTAAAACCTAGTAGTGACACATTTCCAAAAAATAGAGAATACCAAAATTGTCTTAAGAAAAAACAGGAAACTTACATAGTTAGTGAGCATTAAGGAAATAAAACATGGTAAAGACTTTGTCCCCCTTTAAATAAGCACTAGATAGATTTAGATAGTTTTACAAGTGACAGCTATCAAACTTTTATGGAAGAACTCCTTCTATCTTATATAAGTTGTTCTAGAAAGTAAAGGGAACACCCAAAATTCATTTTATAAAACTTTATACCAAAGCTCATAAGCACAGTACAATAAAAGAAAATTACAGGCCCATTTAACTTAGGAACATAAACTCAAAATCTTAAGTGAGACATTACTTACCCAAATCTACGAATGTAGAAGGTGAATAATATAGCAGTGATAAATATCCATTCAGGTAATGAGAATCACTGTAATTAGCAGTTTTATTTAATATTACCATTTCAACTTATGAGGGCTCATGTTTGTTCACAAGGTTCATTCTGGATTTAGGGCACATTGCAAGCAGGTGTGCTTTAGGAGATGAGACCCAATCATGGCTCACCTTTGAAGGTGTGCCGTCAGTGTCTCTTCTCCTTTCAGGACACTTGTGCTGGTTTACAGCACTGATAATCTCCAATCTCATGCTTCTTATTTGGCAACTTTCTAGTGAGTATAATATCATTTGCCTTGCTTCTATCAAGTTCCTTTGCTCTGTTTTTTGTTTTTTGGATAAACATTGAGAATCACATATGGTCCTGCTTTGTAACCATAGTCTTAAGCCTAAAGTGTATACTAGCTTAAAAAGAAAACTCTTTAATGAGAAAAGACAAAACTTATTATATTGTGTAATTAATAAAGAGAAACTATCTTGGCAGGTTGTGTCCTCAAAATAATTTTTAATTATTGAGGTAATTGGGTCTATTTTAATGGTATTTGGTGGTGTTATAGTAAAAATACTTGTTATTTTGATGCTGAGAATATGTAACATATTTTCTTATTGAAATGAATAGCAACTATATTTGACTTATGATAACTCACTTTTATAATTCAGGTTTTTTAAAAAATTACATTGTTCTAATAAAGTTAAGTGATCTTAACCTCATGATGAAATGAGATTCACCTCAAGAATACAAGAATGTTTTCATAACAGAAAAATTTATAAATATAATTCACTGAAATACCACCTAAGGACTTAAGGATAAAAATTAACACTTATTTTAATAGATACAGAAAAGAACTTGATTAAGTTATTTATATTTATTTGTAATATAAATATACATAATATTTATGAAAAAAATTCTTGAAAAACTAGAAGTAGAATAGAGCCCTCATATTTTTAAAAGGCTATCTGCTGAAATTCCATAGCAGTGATTACACTTAACAGAGAAACTTTAGACATAGTTAGTTTAAGATATAGAAATGACAAAGTTACCACTATTACCTCAGGCCAGCATATAAAAATGAGAAAACATATTAAGAAATAAAAGAAGTTGAAGGGAAGTCACAAGTTGTCATTATTTGCAGATCATATCATATCTGCATTTAACCTAGCAAAATCAAGAGATTTTTCTCTGAAGTACTAACCAATAGATATAAATGCTGAGTCAAAGGCTATATACATATTTAATTTTACTAGATGTTGCCAAAATTTTCTGCCAAAATGACTCTCATAGCAGAAGGATAGAAGAGCCCATTATGCCAAATACTTATCAACAAATTATAATTTTTATACTCTCAAATTTGGCCTATCTAATGAACATGACATCTGTCACTGTGATTTGAATTCTCACTTATTTTATAATTAGTAACATTGAATATTTTCACATATACGTATTAGTCATTCAAATATCACTTTATATGAATTCTTTATTCATGTCTTTTCTTCATTTTTCTTTTGGGTTTTCTTTCCCTTTACTTTGGAGGAGTTCTTTGCTAACTTTGGACACAAATACATTGTTCATTTTATTAATTGGACATAGCTTATGCCTTGCATTTTAACTTGGTTTAGGGTATCTTTTATTGCACTGAAATTCAAAAATTTAATATAGTTAAATTTATCAACATTTTCTTCTATCATTTATGTTTTTGTTTTTGGTTTTTGTTTGTCTTTCAGAAATCCTTTTATTCTCCAGAAAATACATCATTTTCCATTTTCTCCTGAAATTTTAAAGTTCGCCTTTTCACATTCAGATTAATCTACCTGGAATTTGCAGAGGCATGCATGATGTGGTATAGGGAATCTTTTGGGGACTGGGTTTTTTTATTTTTACTTATTTATTTTCGAGATGGAGTCTCACTCTGTCACCCAGGCTGGAGTGCAGTGACATGATCTCAGCTCACTGCAGCTTCTGCCTCTCGGGTTCAAGTGATTCTCCTGCCTCAGCCTCTGTGTAGCTGAGATTATAAGTGCACGCCATCACGCCCAGCTAATTTTTGTATTTTTAGTAAAGATGGGGTTTCACCATGTTGGCCAGGCTGGTTTTGAACTCCTGACCTCAAGGAATCCGCCTGCCTCAGCCTCCCAAAGTGCTGAGATTACAGGCATAAAACACTATGCCCGGCCTGTTTTTTTTTTTAATAGTGTGAATAATCATTTATTAAGTGTTTATGCTTTTTCATCAATATGTCATGACAATTTCTGTTATTTATCAAGCTTTTATTAATAGATTGAGTTCTGCGCTTTTAATTCTATCTTAGTGGTCAATTTGTTTATAGCTATGCAAATGCTACACTGTCTTAATTACAGTTTTTTTTTTTAAATTGATATCTGGCAGGGTGGGCTCCATTATTTTCATCCTCTGCAGATTTAGATATGTATTTTTGGCCCTTTGCTCTTCCATATAACATTTAGAATCAGCTTATAGAGATTTGATAAAATTTGAGGGGGAATTACCATCTTTATGATATTAGAACTTCCAGTTCATAAACATGACATAATATTCCATTTATTCATGCCTTCTTTCATGTCCTTCAATATTGTAATGTCCATAAAAATATTTTATATCTTATTTTAATTTTAGATGTTGTACATGCAGTAGCAAATAGGATATTTTTCTATTACATTTTTAGTAAGTTATTATTACTGCTTAGAAATGCAATTGATAAAATTTAACACTCCTTTATGCTAAAAACTCTCAATAAACTAGGTATTGATGGACTATATCTCAAAATAATAAGAGCAATTTATGACAAACCCACAGCCAATATCATACTGAATGGGCAAAAGCTGGAAGCATTCCCTTTGAAAACCAGCACAAGACAAGGATGTCCTCTCTTACCACTCCTATTCAACGTAGTATTGGAAGTTCTGGCCAGGGAAATCAGGCAAGAGAAAGAAATAAAGGTATTCGAACAGGAAGAGAGGAAGTCATATTGTCTCTGTTTGCAGATGCCATGATTGTATATTTAGAAAACCCCATCATCTCAGCCCAAAATCTCCTTAAGCTGATAAGCAACTTCAGCAAAGTCTCAGGATACAAAATCAATGTGCAAAAATCCCAAGCATTCTTATACACCAATAATAGAGAGCCAAAACATTAGTGAACTCCCATTCACAATTGCTGCAAAGAGAATAAAATGCCTAGCAATACAACTTAAAAGGGATATGAAGGACCTCTTCAAGGGGAACTACAAATCACTGCTCAAGAAAATAAGAGAGGACACAAAAAAATGGAAAAACACTCCATGCTCATGAATAGGAAGAATTAATATCATGAAAGTGGCCATTCTGCCTAAAGTAATTTATAGATTCACTGCTATCCCCATCAAGCTACCACAGACTTTCTTCACAGAATTATTAAAAAAAAAACTACTTTAAGTTTCATATGGTACCAAAAAAGAGCCCATATAGCCAAGACAATCTTAAGCAAAAAGAACAAAGGTGGAGGCATCATGCTACCTGACTTTAAACTATACTACAAGGCTACAGTAATGAAAACAGCATGGAACTGGTATCCAAAACAGATATATAGACCAATGGAACAGAACACAGGCCTCAGAAATAACGCCACACATCTACAACCATCTGATCTTTGACAAACCTGACAAAAACAAGCAATGGGGAAAGGATTCCGTATTTAATAAATGGTGTTGGGAAAACTGCCTAGCCATATACAGAAAACTGAAACTGGACCCCTTCCTTACACCTTATACAAAAAGTAACTCAAGATGAATTAAAGACTTAAATGTAAGACCTAAAGCTATAAAAACACTAGAAGAAAACCTAGGCAGTACCATTCAGGATGTAGGCATGGGCAAAGACTTCATGACTAAAACACCAAAAGCAGTGGCAACAAAAGTCAAAATTGACAAATGGGATCTAATTAAACTAAAAAGCTTCTGCACAGCAAAAGAAACTATCATCAGAATGAACAGGAAACCTACAGAATGGGAGAAAATTTTTGCAATCTATCCATCTGACAAAGGGCTAATATCCAGAATCTACAAAGAACTTAAATTTACAAGAAAAAAACAAACAACCCCATCAAAATGTGGGCAAAGGATATGAATGGACACTTCTCAAAAGAAGACATTTATGCAGCCAACAAACATTAAAAAATGCTCATCATCACTGGTCATTAGAGAAATGCAAATCAAAACCACAAAACCACGATCTCATGCCAGTTAGAATGGCGATCATTAAAATGTCAGGAAACATCCGATGCTGGAGAGCATGTGGAGAAGTAGGAATTATTTTACACTGTTGGTGAGAGTGTAAATTAGTTCAACCATTGTGGAAGACAGTGTGGCGATTCCTCAAGGATCTAGAACTAGAAATGCCATTTGACCCAGCAAGCCCAGTACTGGGTATATACCCAAAGGAATATAAACCATTCTACTATAAAGACACATGCACACATATGTATATTGCAGTACTATTCACAATAGCAAAGACTTGGAACCAACCCAAATGTCCATCAATAATAGACTGGATAAAGAAGATGTGGCACATGTACACCATGGAATACCATGCAGCCATCAAAAGGATGAGTTCGTGTCCTTTGCAGGGACATAGATGAAGCTGGAAACCATCATTCTCAGCAAACTAACACAAACCAAATACTGCATGTTGTCACTCATAAGTGGGAGTGGAACAATGAGAACACATGGACACAGGGAGGGGAAAATCACACACCTGGGCCTGTCGGGGGCTGGGGGGAGTGGGGAGGGATAGCATTAGGAGAAATACCTACTGTAGATGGTGGGATGATGAGTGCAGCAAACCACCATGGTACGTGTATATCTATGTTCTGCACATGTGGAGAACTACAAACCACTGCTCATGGTCAGGTATTTTATAAACAGTATCCCTCAATTGGGAATTATCTGGTGTTTTTCTCATTGTTAGACCGGGTTTTTTGAACTGGGGGAGAAGGACCACAGAAGTAAAATGCCATTTTCATCACATCATATCAAGGGTACACATTACAATTTTCACTGCTAGTGTTGATCTTGATCATCTAGCTGAGGTAGTGTTTGCCAGCCTTTTCCACTTTGGAAGTTAATCTTTCTCCTTTTCCATGCTGTATTCTTTGGAAAGAAATAACTATGCAGAGAATAATTACTTTTTTATTTGGGTTTTTAAAATTTATCTTCTCATCAATTGTGTTGTTATATACCACAAAAATATGTCCTCTGTGTCAAACTTTGCAAATGTGTTGGCATAAAGTTACTCTAGTGTTCTTTCATGAGAACACCAATTCAGATGTGTATCCTGTTTTATTCCCCAAATAATCTTTAAAAAATCTTCCTGGTGTCAGATGTGATATACCCTTTTTCATTTTGAAAATTAATCGCTTCTGTATTTTCTTTTCCCCTTGATCAAATGTACTAGAACGTTGCCCACTTTCAGTGTGCTCTAAGAGTTAGGTTTTATTCTGTTGATCATCTCTATTGTTTCTTTGTTTTACCTCCTATTAGTATCTTTTCCATTTGTGATTTCTTGATTTCTACTTTTTCCAGGTTTACTGTGCTATTCTCTTCCTATTCTTGACTTGGACACCTAGCACATTTAGTCTTAATTTTCACTGCTATTTAATAGCTGCATGTACAGTTACATATTTCCCTCTCAATATAATTTGGTGGCATTCCCTAATGTTTGATATAAAGTACTTTCATTGTTATTCATTGTCAAATATTTTGCAATTTCATTGCAATTTACATTTAAATGATGAATTTGAAAGTTGCTGAGATTTCCTTTGTGACTCAGTATGTAGTCTATTTTTGGGTTTCATGTGTACTTGAAAATAACGTATTGCTTCTCCACTTTTCACTGGATTTTTTACACTACCTTTCTGGAATTTTTAAAATATAGATAGTGATATTATTATTTCTTTCCTCCATATTTTTAAACTTGTCTTTCATGTTTTCTCAACTCTATATTCCTTCTTGATTATTTCTGGGAGAGTTCTTCAGCCTAATCTTCCAGCTCACTAATTTGATTTTTGTATACATTCTACTCGTGCACCAGACTACTATTTACTTCAGTTATTATACTTTTCAGACCAAGAAACTTCAACTGGTTCTTCTTTCTGATGTCTTGTTTCTGTTTTGCATTTTACATATTTGTACCTTATCATTCTCCAATGATGTTGATTACACTTAATTCTAATTCTTGCTCTATGTGTTCTACTGCCTTTTTCCTTTTGCACAGCAAAACAAATAACAGAGAAAACAGGAAACCTACAAAATGAGAGAAAATATTTGTAACCTACACATTTGACAAATGACTAATATCCAGAATCTACATGGACCTCAAACAAATTAGGAAGAAAAAATAAATAGTTCTATTATAAAGTGAGTAAATTACATGGACACACATTTTTCAAAAGAAGACATACAAACACCAACAAACATATAAAAAATACTCAGTATCACTAATCATCAGGGAAATGGAAATTAAAAGCATAATGAGATACCACCTTACCCTAGTCAGAATGGCCATTATTAAAAAGTAAAAAACCAACAGATGTTCGTGAAGATGTGGTGAAAAGGGAACACTTATGCATTGTGGGTGGGAGTGTAAATTAGTACAACCTCTGTGTAAATAGTATGGAGGTTTCTCAAAGAACTATAATTAGATCTACCATTGACTGCAGCAATCCCACTACTTGGTGTCTACCCAGAGGAAAAGAAGTCACATCAAAAGACATCTGCACGTGAATATATATTGCAGCACAATTCACAACTGACGAACACATGAGTGGATAAAGAAACAGTAGCATATATATGCTACATTTATATATGGATACAATATAAACATATAATATATAAATATATAAAAATTTAAAATGAACAAAATAATGTATTATATATTATATACTATATATTTTATATTTTATAATATATAATTTATATATATAAATTACATTTTAAAATATAATATATATAAATTATATATAATATATAAATTATTTATATATATTATTAATATATCATATATTATATATAATATATTACATATAACATAATACAATATATAATCATATATTATATTACATTATATTATATATTATATTTTAAATAAATTATATATTATAAAATAATATAATTATGTTACATTATAAAATAATATATTATTACATTATATAACATTATTATATTATATTATATATAATATATTTAATACAAACTATTATGTTATATTTAATATAATATATAATATAATATTATATTTTATATTTAATATAATATATAACATATTTTATATTTAATATAAAATATAATATATATTATATTTTATATTTAATATAATATATATTATATTTTATATTATTTTATATTTAATATAATATATATTATATTTTATATTATTTTATATTTAATATAATATATATTATATATTATTTTATATTATATTACTATATTATATATTATAGAATATATTATAGAATAGATACAATATATTACATATATAATACAAGTAAATTATATATAAATAAATTATATGTAATATGTTACATAGGTGGGGCAGCCAAGATGGCCGAATAGGAACAGCTCCAGTCTACAGCTCCCGGCCTGAGCGATGCAGAAGACAGCTAATTTCTGCATTTCCACCTGAGGTACCAGGTTCATCTCACTAGGGAGTGCCAGACAGTGGGCACAGGACAGTGGGGGCAGCGCAGCGTGCATGAGCCGAAGCAGAGCATGGCATTGCCTCACTCAGGAAGCGCAAGGGGTCAGGGAGTTCCCTTTCCTAATCAAAGAAAGGGGTAACAGACGGCACCTGGAAAATCGGGTCACTCCCACCCTAATACTGCACTTTTCCGACGGGCTTAAGGAACGGTGCACCAGGAGATTATATCCTGCACCTGGCTCGGAGGGTCCTATGCCCACAGAGTCTCGCTGATTGCTCGCACAGCAGTCTGAGATCAAACTGAAAGGCGGCAGTGAGGCTGGGGGAGGGGTGCCCACCATTGCCCAGGCTTGCTTAGGTAAACAAAGCAGCCGGGAAGCTCGAACTGGGTGGAGCCCACCACAGCTCAAGGAGGGCTGCCTGCCTCTGTAGGCTCCACCTCTGGGGGCAGGGCACAGACAAACAAAAAGACAGCAGTAACCTCTGCAAACTTAAATGTCCCAGTCTGACAGCTTTGAAGAGAGCAGTGGTTCTCCCAGCTCACAGCTGGAGATCTGAAAATGGGCAGACTGCCTCCTCAAGTGGGTCCCTGACCCCTGACCCCCAAGCAGCCTAACTAGGAGGCACCCCCCAGTAGGGGCAGACTGACACCTCACACGGCTGGGTACTCCACTGAGACAAAACTTCCAGAGGAACAATCAGACAGCAGCATTCACGGTTCACGAAAATCCGCTGTTCTGCAGACACTGCTGCTGTTACCCAGGCAAACAGGGTCTGGAGTAGACTTCTAGCAAACACCAACAGACCTGCAGCTGACGGTCCTGTCTGTTAGAAAGAAAACTAACAAACAGAAAGGACATCCACACCAAAAACCTATCTGTACATCACCATCATCAAAGACAAAAGTAGATAAAACCACAAAGATGGGGAAAAAACAGAGCAGAAAAACGGGAAACTCTAAAAAGCAGAGCACCTCTCCTCCTCGAAAGGAACACAGTTCCTCACCAGCAATGGAACAAAGTTGGACGGAGAATGACTTTGATGAGTTGAGAGAAGAAGGCTTCAGACAATCAAACTACTCTGAGCTACAGGAGGAAATTCAAACCGAAGGCAAAGAAGTTAAAAACTTTGAAAAAAAATTTAGACGAATGGATAACTAGAATAACCAATACAGAGAAGTGCTTAAAGGAGCTGATGGAGCTGAAAACCAAGGCTCGAGAACTACATGAAGAATGCAGAAGCCTCAGGAGCTGATGTGATCAACTGGAAGAAAGTGTATCAGTGATGAAAGACGAAATGAATGAAATGAAGCGAGAAGGGAAGTTTAGAGAAAAAAGAATAAAAAGAAATGAACAAAGCCTCCGAGAAATATGGGACTATGTGACAAGACCAAATCTACATCTCATTGGTGTACCTGAAAGTGACGGGGTGAATGGAACCAAGTTGGAAAACACTCTGCAGGATATTATCCAGGAGAACTTCCCCAATCTAGCAAGGCAGGCCAACGTTCAGATTCAGGAAATACAGAGAACGCCACAAAGATACTCCTCGAGAAGAGCAACTCCAAGACACATAATTGTCAGATTCACCAAAGTTGAAAGGAAGGAAAAAATGTTAAGGGCAGCCAGAGAGAAAGGTCGGGTTACCCTCAAAGGGAAGCCCATCAGACTAACAGCAGATCTCTTGGCAGAAACTCTACAAGCCAGAAGAGAGTGGGGGCCAATATTCAACATTCTTAAAGAGAAGAATTTTCAACCCAGAATTTCATATCCAGCCAAACTAAGCTTCATAAGTGAAGGAGAAATACAATACTTTACAGACAAGCAAATGCTGAGAGATTTTGTCACCACCAGGTCTGCCCTAAAAGAGCTCCTGAAGGAAGCGCTGAACATGGAAAGGAACAACCGGTACCAGCCACTGCAAAATCATGCCAAAATGTAAAGACCATTGAGACTAGGAAGAAACTGTATCAACTAACGAGCAAAATAACCACTTAACATCATAATGACAGGATCAAATTCACACATAACAATATTAACTTTAAATGTAAATGGACTAAATGCTCCAATTAAAAGACACAGACTGGCAAATTGGATAAAGAGTCAAGACCCATTAGTGTGCTGTATTCAGGAAACCCATCTCACAGGCAGAGACACACATGGGCTCAAAATAAAAGGATGGAGGAAGATCTACCAAGCAAATGGAAAACAAAAAAATGCAGGGATTGCAATCCTAGTCTCTGATAAAACAGACTTTAAACCAACAAAGATCAAAAGAGACAAAGAAGGCCATTACTTAATGGTAAAGGGATCAACTCAACAAGAAGAGCTAACTATCCTAAATATATATGGACCCAATACAGGAGCACCTAGATTCATAAAGCAAGTCCTGAGTGACCTACAAAGAGACTTAGACTCCCACACGTTAATAATGGGAGACTTTAACACCCCACTGTCAACATTAGACAGATCAATGAGACAGAAAGTCAACAACGATACCCAGGAATTGAACTCAGCTCTGCACCAAGTGGACCTAATAGACATCTACAGAACTCTCCACCCCAAATCAACAGAATATACATTTTTTTCAGCAACACACCACACCTATTCCAAAATTGACCATATACTTGGAAATAAACCTCTCCTCAGAAAATGTAAAAGAACAGAAATTATAACAAACTGTCTCTCAGACCACAGTGCAATCAAACTAGAACTCAGGATTAAGAAACTCACTCAAAACTACTCAACTACATGGAAACTGAACAACCTGCTCCTGAATGACTGCTGGGTACATAACGAAATGAAGGCAGAAATAAAGATGTTCTTTGAAATCAATGAGAACAAAGACACAACGTACCAGAATCTCTGGGACACATTCAAAGCAGTGTGTAGAGGGAAATTTATAGCACTAAATGCCCACAAGAGAAAGCAGGAAAGATCCAAAATTGACACCCTAACATCACAATTAAAAGAACTAGAAAAGCAAGAGCAAACACATTCAAAAGCTAGCAGAAGGCAAGAAATAACTAAAATCAGAGCAGAACTGAAGGAAATAGAGACACAAAAAACCCTTCAAACAATTAACGAATCCAGGAGCTGGTTTTTTGAAAGGATCAACAAAATTGATAGACCGCTAGCAGACTAATAAAGAAAAAAAGAGAGAAGAATCAAATAGACGCAATAAAAAATGATAAAGGGGATATCACCACCGATCTCACAGAAATACAAACTACCATCAGAGAATACTACAAACACCTCTACGCAAATAAACTAGAGAATCTAGAAAAAATGGATAAATTCCTCGACACATACACCCTCCTAAGACTAAACCAGGAAGAAGTTGAATCTCTGAATAGACCAATAACAGGCTCTGAAATTGTGGCAATAATCAATAGCTTACCAACGAAAGAGTCCAGGACCAGATGGATTCACAGTCGAATTCTACCAGAGGTACAAGGAGGAACTGGTACCGTTCCTTCTGAAACTATTCCAATCAATAGAAAAAGAGGGAATCCTCCCTAACTCATTTTATGAGGCCAGCATCATCCTGATACCAAAGACGGGCAGAGAAACCACCAAAAAAGAGAATTTTAGACCAATATCCTTGATGAACATTGATGCAAAAATTCTCGATAAAATACTGGCAAACCGAATACAGCAACACATCAAAAAGCTTATCCACCATGATCAAGTGGGCTTCATCCCTGGGATGCAAGCCTGGTTCAATATATGCAAATCAATAAATGTAATCCAGCATATAAACAGAACCAAAGACAAAAACCACATGATTATCTCAATAGATGCAGAAAAGGCCTTTGACAAAATTCAACAATACTTCAGGCTAAAAACTCTCAATAAATTAGGTATTGATGGGACATATCTCAAAATAATAAGAGCTATCTATGACAAACCCACAGCCAATATCATACTGAATGGGCAAAAACTGGAAGCATTCCCTTTGAAAACTGGCACAAGACAGGGATGCCCTCTCTCACCACTCCTATTCATCAGAGTGCTGGAAGTTCTGGCCAGGGCAATTACGCAGGAGAAGGAAATAAAGGGTATTCAATTAGGAAAAGAGGAAGTCAAATTGTCCCTGTTTGCAGACGACATGATTGTATATCTAGAAAACCCCATTGTCTCAGCCCAAAATCTCCTCAAGCTGATAAGCAACTTCAGCAAAGTCTCAGGATACAAAATCAATGTACAAAAATCACAACCATTCTTATACACCAACAACAGACAAACAGAGAGCCAAATCATGAGTGAACTCCCATTCACAATTGCTTCAAAGATAATAAAATACCTAGGAATCCAACTTACAAGGGACGTGAAGGAACTCTTCAAGGAGAACTACAAACCACTGCTCAAGGAAATAAAAGAGGATACAAACAAATGGAAGAACATTCCATGCTCATGGGTAGGAAGAATCAATATCGTGAAAATGGCCATACTACCCAAGGTAATTTATAGACTCAATGCCATCCCCATCAAGCTACCAATGACTTTCTTCACAGAATTGGAAAAAACTACTTTAAAGTTCATATGGAACCAAAAAAGGGCCCTCATCACCAAGTTCATCCTAAGCCAAAAGAACAAAGCTGGAGGCATCACACTACCTGACTTCAAACTATACTACACGGCTACAGTAACCAAAACAGCATAGCACTGATACCAAAACAGAGATATACATCAATGGAACAGAACAGAGCCCTCAGAAATAATGCCACATATCTACAACTATCTGATCTTTGAGAAACCTGAGAAAAACAAGCAATGGGGAAAGTATTCCCTATTTAATAAATGGTGCTGGGAAAACCAACTAGCGATATGTAGAAAGCTGAAACTGGATCCCTTCCTTACACCTTATACAAAAATTAATTCAAAATGTATTAAAGACTTAAATGTTAGACCTAAAACCATAAAAACCCTAGAAGAAAACCTAGGCAATACCATTCAGGACATAGGCATGGGCAAGGACTTCATGTCTAAAACACCAAAAGCAATAGCAACAAAAGCCAAAATTGACAAGTGGGATCTAACTAAACTAAAGAGCTGCTGCACAGCAAAAGAAACTACCATCAGAGTGAACAGGCAACCTACAAAATGGGAGAAAATCTTCACAACCTACTCATCTGACAAAGGGCTAATATCCAGAATCTACAATGAACTCAAACAAATTTACAAGAAAATAACAAACAACTCTATCAAAAAGTGGGCAAAGGACATGAACAGACACTTCTCAAAAGAAGACATTTATGCAGCCAAAAAACACATGAAAAAATGCTCACCATCACTGGCCATCAGAGAAATGCAAATCAAAACCACAATGAGATACCATCTCACACCAGTTAGAATGGCAATCATTAAAAAGTCAGGAAACAACAGGTGCTGGAGAGGATGTGGAGAAATAGGAACACTTTTACACTGTTGGTGGAACTGTAAACTAGTTCAATCATTGTGGAAGTCAGTGTGGCGAATCCTCAGGGATCTAGAACTAGAAATACCATTTGACCCAGCCATCCCATTACTGGGTATATACCCAAAGGGCTATAAATCATGCTGCTATAAAGACACATGCACACATATGTTTATTGTGGCACTACTCACAATAGCAGACTTGGAACCAACCCCAATATCCAAAAATGATAGACTGGATTAAGATAATGTGGCACATATACACCATGGAATACTATGCAGCCATAAAAAATGGTGAGTTCACATCCTTTCTAGGGACATGGATGAAATTGGAAATCATCATTCTCAGTAAACAATCGCAAGGACAAAAAACCAAACGCCACATGTTCTCACTCATAGGTGGGAATTGAACAATGAGAACACATGGACACAGGAAGGGGAACATCACACTCTGGGGACAGTTGTGGGCTGGGGGCAGGGTGGGAGGGATAGCATTATGAGATATACCTAATGCTAAATGACGAGTCAATGGGTGCAGCACACAAGCATGGCACATGTATATATGGATAACTAACCTGCACATTGTGCACATGTACCCTAAAACTTGAAGTATAATAATACTAAAATAAAAAAAAGAAAAAATATACATTGTATACTATACTATATTGTATATAACATATAATAAAATATAATATATAATATATAATATAATACATAATATATTATATAGTATATATAATATAATCATATAATAAAATGTAATACCACATAATATAATTATATATTTTATTACATTAGAATTTTATAATATAACATAATACTATATAACATTCTTATATATTATATATTATATGTTACATATATTTATATATATAATGTAATATACATGTTTATACATAATAAAATATAATCATATAAATTATATAAAATAAAATACCAAATATATAAAATAATATATGAAATATAAATTATATAAAATATAATGTAAAATATATAAAATACATAAAAGATAAATTATAAAAAACAAAATATAAAATAATAATGCAATTATATAATAAAATATTACATTATATATTATATAATATATATTATTATATATTATATAAAAATATATAATATATAATATATAATTATATAAAATATCATATAATATATATTATTATATAATTATATAAAATATAATATTGTATTACATAAAATTATATAATATATAATTATATAATTATATATTATATAATTATATAATTTTATAATATATTATTATAAATTATATATATATAATATATAATTATATATAATTATATAATATATAATATATAATTATATAATATATGATATATTATAATATATTTTATATATATTATATATTATATATATTATATTATATTATATAAATATATAAATTTATATATATAAATATATATACTATATATTTATTTTACATTTATTATTTACATTTATTATATATAAATATATATAAAATATAAATATATACATCAATATACAATAAATATATGATATATGTAAATATATAACAAATATATACATATATAATAAATATATAGCAAAATATAATATAAAATAAAATACTATAATATATATTATGGAGTATTATATAGTATATATAATGTATAACTCTTATAAATTATATATTATATATTTATATTTATATTATATAAAATTATATATGTATATTTATATTTATATCATATATAACTATATGTAATATATAATATTTATATATTATATATTCTATTATGTTACCCAGTGGATAATAAGTATTGGTGGTGGTGGTGGATAATATACATATATAGTATATATACATATATATTATACATATATACACATATACATATATATTATACATATATACATATACATATATAATATGTATATATGATCATTTATTTATTATATATTATATGATAAATTTTATTTATAACATAATAAATTATAATATATTTTATTATAATATATAATTTATATATTACATTATATTTACAATATAATAATATTATACTATACAATTCTTACATATTATTAAATTATATATTATATATAAAGTATAATTATTATCTATTAGGTAATAGTAGCTGTTACCTATGAGGCAATATTTATTATCCAGTACGTAATAGTAGTTACCTACAAGGCAATATTTATTATCCACCGGGTAACAGTAGTGACCCACGAGGCAATACTTATTATCCACTGGGTAACAGCGGTTACCCACGACACAATACTTATTATCCACCGGGTAACATCGGTTACCCATGAGGCAATACTTATTATCCACTGGGTAACAGTGATTACTCATGAGGCAATACTTATTATCCACCGGGTGACAGTGGTTACCCACGAGGCAATACTTATTACCCACCGGGTAACAGTGGTTACCCACGAGGCAATACTTTTTTTATATATATACTTTAAGTTTTAGGGTACCTGTGCACAATGTGCAGTTTAGTTACATATGTATACATGTGCCATGCTGGTGCGCTGCACCCACTAACTCGTCATCTAACCTTAGGTATATCTCCCAGTGCTATCCCTCCCCCCTCCCCCCACCCCACAACAGTCCCCAGAGTGTTATGTTCCCCTTCCTGTGTCCATGTGTTCTCATTTTTCAGTTCCCACCTATGAGTGAGAATATGCAGTGTTTGGTTTTTTGTTCTTGCGATAGTTTACTGAGAATGATGATTTCCAATTTCATCCATGTCCCTACAAAGGACATGAACTCATCATTTTTTATGGCTGCATAGTATTCCATGCTGTATATGTGCCACATTTTCTTAATCCAGTCTATCATTGTTGGACATTTTGGTTGGTTCCAAGTCTTTGCTATTGTGAATAATGCCGCAATAAACATATGTGTGCATGTGTCTTTATAGCAGCATGATTTATAGCCCTTTGGGTATATACCCAGTAATGGGATGGCTGGGTCAAATGGTATTTCTAGTTCTAGATCCCTGAGAATCGCCACACTGACTTCCACAATGATTGAACTAGTTTACAGTCCCACCAACAGTGTAAAAGTGTTCCTATTTCTCCACATCCTCTCCAGCACCTGTTGTTTCCTGACTTTTTAATGATTGCCATTCTAACTGGTGTGAGATGGTATCTCATTGTGGTTTTGATTTGCATTTCTCTGATGGCCAGTGATGGTGAGCATTTTTTCATGTGTTTTTTGGCTGCATAAATGTCTTCTTTTAAGAAGTGTCTGTTCATGTCCTTTGCCCACTTTTTGATGGGGTTGTTTGTTTTTTTCTTGTAAATTTGTTTGAGTTCATTGTAGATTCTGGATATTAACCCTTTATCAGATGAGTAGGTTGCGAAGATTTTCTCCCATTTTGTAGGTTGCCTGTTCACTCTGATGGTAGTTTCTTTTGCTGTGCAGAAGCTCTTTAGTTTAATTAGATCCCATTTGTCAATTTTGGCTTTTGTTGCCATTGCTTTTGGTGTTTTAGACATGAAGTCCTTGCCCATGCCTATGTCCTGAATGGTAATGCCTAGGTTTTCTTCTGGGGTTTTTATGGTTTTAGGTCTAACGTTTAAGTCTTTAATCCATCTTGAATTGATTTTTGTATAAGGTGTAAGGAAGGGATCCAGTTTCAGCTTTCTACATATGGCTAGCCAGTTTTCCCAGCACCATTTATTAAATAGGGAATACTTTCCCCATTGCTTGTTTTTCTCAGGTTTCTCAAAGATCAGATAGTTGTAGAAATGTGGTGTTATTTCTGAGGGCTATGTTCTGTTCCATTGATCTATATCTCTATTTTGGTACCAGTACCATGCTGTTTTGGTTACTGTAGCCTTTTAGTATAGTTTGAAGTCAGGTAGTGTGATGCCTCCAGCTTTGTTCTTTTGACTCAGGATTGACTTGGCGATGAGGGCTCTTTTTTGGTTCCATATGAACTTTAAAGTAGTTTTTTTCCAATTCTGTGAAGAAAGTCATTGGTAGCTTGATGGGTACAGCATTGAATCTGTAAATTACCTTGGGCAGTATGGCCATTTTCACGATATTGATTCTTCCTACCCATGAGCATGGAATGTTCTTCCATTTGTTTGTATCCTCTTTTATTTCCTTGAGCAGTGGTTTGTAGTTCTCCTTGAAGAGTTCCTTCACGTCCCTTGTAAGTTGGATTCCTAGGTATTTTATTATCTTTGAAGCAATTGTGAATGGGAGTTCACTCATGATTTGGCTCTCTGTTTGTCTGTTGTTGGTGTATAAGAATGGTTGTGATTTTTGTACATTGATTTTGTATCCTGAGACTTTGCTGAAGTTGCTTATCAGCTTGAGGAGATTTTGGGCTGAGACAATGGGGTTTTCTAGATATACAATCATGTCGTCTGCAAACAGGGACAATTTGACTTCCTCTTTTCCTAATTGAATACCCTTTATTCCCTTCTCCTATGTAATTGCCCTGGCCAGAACTTCCAACACTCTGATGAATAGGAGTGGTGAGAGAGGGCATCCCTGTCTTGTGCCAGTTTTCAAAGGGAATGCTTCCAGTTTTTGCCCATTCAATATGATATTGGCTGTGGGTTTGTCATAGATAGCTCTTATTATTTTGAGATATGTCCCATCAATACCTAATTTATTGAGAGTTTTTAGCATGAAGGGTTGTTGAATTTTGTCAAAGGCCTTTTCTGCATCTATTGAGATAATCATGTGGTTTTTGTCTTTGGTTCTGTTTATATGCTGGATTACATTTATTGATTTGTGTATATTGAACCAGGCTTGCATCCCAGGGATGAAGCCCACTTGATCATGGTGGATAAGCTTTTTGATGTGCTGCTGGATTCCGTTTGCCAGTATTTTATTGAGGATTTTTGCATCAATGTTCATCAAGGATATTGGTCTAAAATTCTTTTTTGGTTGTGTCTCTGCCCGGCTTTGGTATCAGAATGATGCTGGCCTCATAAAATGAGTTAGGGAGGGTTCCCTCTTTTTCTATTGATTGGAATAGTTTCAGAAGGAATGGTACCAGTTCCTCCTTGTACCTCTGGTAGAATTCGACTGTGAATCCATCTGGTCCTGGACTCTTTTTCATTGGTAAGCTATTGATTATTGCCACAATTTCAGAGCCTGTTATTGGTCTATTCAGAGATTCAACTTCTTCCTTGTTTAGTCTTGGGAGGGTGTATGTGTCGAGGAATTTATCCATTTCTTCTAGATTCTCTAGTTTATTTGCATAGAGGTGTTTGTAGCATTCTCTGATGGTAGTTTGTATTTCTGTGGGATCGGTGGTGATATCCCCTTTATCATTTTTTATTGCGTCTATTTGATTCTTCTCTCTTTTTTTCATTATTAGTCTTGCTAGCTTTCTATCAATTTTGTTGATCCTTTCAAAAAACCAGCTCCTGGATTCGTTAATTTTTTGAAGGGGTTTTTTGTGTCTCTATTTCCTTCAGTTCTGCTCTGATTTTAGTTATTTCTTGCCTTCTGCTAGCTTTTGAATGTGTTTGCTCTTGCTTTTCTAGTTCTTTTAATTGTGATGTTAGGGTGTCAATTTTGGATCTTTCCTGCTTTCTCTTGTGGGCATTTAGTGCTATAAATTTCCCTCTACACACTGCTTTGAATGTGTCCCAGAGATTCTGGTACGTTGTGTCTTTGTTCTCATTGGTTTCAAAGAACATCTTTATTTCTGCTTTCATTTCGTTATGTACCCAGTAGTCATTCAGAAGCAGGTTGTTCAGTTTCCATGTAGTTCAGTGGTTTTGAGTGAGATTCTTAATCCTGAGTTCTAGTTTGATTGCACTGTGGTCTGAGAGACAGTTTGTTATAATTTCTGTTCTTTTACATTTTCTGAGGAGAGGTTTATTTCCAAGTATATGGTCAATTTTGGAATAGGTGTGGTATGTTGCTGAAAAAAATGTATATTCTGTTGATTTGGGGTGGAGAGTTCTGTAGATGTCTATTAGGTCCACTTGGTGCAGAGCTGAGTTCAATTCTTGGGTATCGTTGTTGACTTTCTGTCTCATTGATCTGTCTAATGTTGACAGTGGGGTGTTAAAGTCTCCCATTATTAACGTGTGGGAGTCTAAGTCTCTTTGTAGGTCACTCAGGACTTGCTTTATGAATCTAGGTGCTCCTGTGTTGGGTCCATATATATTTAGGATAGTTAGCTCTTCTTGTTGAGTTGATCCCTTTACCATTAAATAATGGCCTTCTTTGTCTCTTTTGATCTTTGTTGGTTTAAAGTCTGTTTTATCAGAGACTAGGATTGCAATCCCTGCATTTTTTTGTTTTCCATTTGCTTGGTAGATCTTCCTCCATCCTTTTATTTTGAGCCCATGTGTGTCTCTGCCTGTGAGATGGGTTTCCTGAATACAGCACACTGATGGGTCTTGACTCTTTAACCAATTTGCCAATCTGTGTCTTTTAATTGGAGCATTTAGTCCATTTACATTTAAAGTTAATATTGTTATGTGTGAATTTGATCCTGTCATTATGATGTTAAGTGGTTATTTTGCTCGTTAGTTGATACAGTTTCTTCCTAGTCTCAATGGTCTTTACATTTTGGCATGATTTTGCAGTGGCTGGTACCGGTTGTTCCTTTCCATGTTCAGCGCTTCCTTCAGGAGCTCTTTTAGGGCAGACCTGGTGGTGACAAAATCTCTCAGCATTTGCTTGTCTGTAAAGTATTGTATTTCTCCTTCACTTATGAAGCTTAGTTTGGCTGGATATGAAATTCTGGGTTGAAAATTCTTCTCTTTAAGAATGTTGAATATTGGTCCCCACTCTCTTCTGGCTTGTAGAGTTTCTGCCAAGAGATCTGCTGTTAGTCTGATGGGCTTCCCTTTGAGGGTAACCCGACCTTTCTCTCTGGCTGCCTTTAACATTTTTTCCTTCATTTCAACTTTGGTGAATCTGACAATTATGTGTCTTGGGGTTGCTCTTCTCGAGGAGTATCTTTGTGGCGTTCTCTGTATTTCCTGAATCTGAACGTTGGCCTGCCTTGCTAGATTGGGGAAGTTCTCCTGGATAATATCCTGCAGAGTGTTTTCCAACTTGGTTCCATTCACCCCGTCACTTTCAGGTACACAAATGAGATGTAGATTTGGTCTTGTCACATAGTCCCATATTTCTCGGAGGCTTTGTTCATTTCTTTTTATTCTTTTTTCTCTAAACTTCCCTTCTCACTTCATTTCATTCATTTCATCTTCCATCACTGATACCCTTTCTTCCAGTTGATCGCATCAGCTCCTGAGGCTTCTGCATTCTTCACGTAGTTCTCGAGCCTTGGTTTTCAGCTCCACCAGCTCCTTTAAGCACTTCTGTGTATTGGTTATTCTAGTTATACATTATTCTAAATTTTTTTCAAAGTTTTCAACTTCTTTGCCTTTGGTTTGAATGTCCTCCCATAGCTCGGAATAATTTGATTGTCTGAAGCCTTCTCTCAGCTCATCAAAGTCATTCTCCGTCCAGCTTTGTTCTGTTGCTGGTGAGGAACTGCGTTCCTTTGGAGGAGGAGAGGCGCTCTGCTTTTTAGAGTTTCCCGTTTTTCTGCTCTGTTTTTTCCCCATCTTTGTGGTTTTATCTACCTTTGGTCTTTGATGATGGTGATGTACAGATGGGTTTTTGGTGTGGATGTCCTTTCTGTTAGTTTTCCTTCTAACAGACAGGACCGTCAGCTGCAGGTCTGTTGGAGTACCCGGCCACGTGAGGTGTCAGTCTGCCCCTGTTGGGGGGTGCCTCCCAGTTAGGCTGCTCGGGGGTCAGGGGTCAGGGACCCACTTGAGGAGGCAGTCTGCCCATTCTCAGATCTCCAGCTGTGTGCTAGGAGAACCACTGCTCTCTTCAAAGCTGTCAGACTGGGACATTTAAGTCTGCAGAGGTTACTGCTGTCTTTTTGTTTGTCTGTGCCCTGCCCCCAGAGGTGGAGCCTACAGAGGCAGGCAGCCCTCCTTAAGCTGTGGTGGGCTCCACCCAGTTCGAGCTTCCCGGCTGCTTTGTTTACCTAAGCAAGCCTGGGCAATGGCGGGCGCCCCTCTCCCAGCCTCGCTGCCGCCTTGCAGTTTGATCTCAGACTGCTGTGCTAGCAATCAGTGAGACTCCGTGGGCGTAGGACCCTTTGAGCCAAATGCGGGATATAATCTCCTGGTGCGCCGTTTTTTAAGCCCATCGGAAAAGTGCAGTATTCGGGTGGGAGTGACCTGATTTTCCAGGTGCCGTCTGTCACCCCTTTCTTTGACTAGGAAAGGGAACTCCCTGACCCCTTGCGCTTCCCGAGTGAGGCAATGCCTCACCATGCTTCAGCTTGCACGTGGTGTGCTCACCCACTGACCTGCACCCACTGTCTGGCACTCCCTAATGAGATGAACCTGGTACCTCAGATGGAAATGCAGAAATCACCTGCCTTCTGCGTCGCTCATGCTGGGAGCTGTAGACCGGGGCTGTTCCTACTCGGCCATCTTGGCTCCTCCCTGAGAGGCAATACTTATTATCCACCGGGTAACAGCAGTTACCCACGAGGCAATATTTATTATCCACCAGATAACAGTGGTTACCCACGAGGCAATACTTATTATCCACCGGGTAACAGTGGTTACTCATGAGGCAATACTTATTATCCACCTGGTAACAGTGGTTACCCACGAGGCCATACATATTATCCACCGGGTGACAGTGGTTACCCAAGAGGCAATACTTATTATCCATGTGGTAGAAGTGGTTGCCCATGAGGCAATACTTATTATCCACTGGGTAACAGTGGTTACCCAAGAGGCAATACTTATTATACACCCAGTAACAGTGGTTACCCACAGTGCAACACTTATTATCCACTGGGTAACTGTGGTTACGCATGAGGCAACTCGTATTACCCACTGGGAAACAGTGGTAACCCACGAGGCAATACGTATTATCCAACAGGTAACAGTGGTTACCCACAAGGCCACACGTATTATCCACTGGGTAACAGTGGTTACCCACAAGGCAATACTTATTATCCAGTCATTAGAAGTGGTTACCCATGAGGCAATACTTATTATCCACCAGGTAATGGTGGTTACCCACGGGGCAATATTTATCATCCACAGGGTAACAGTGTTTACCCCCGAGGCAACACTTACTATCCACAAGGTAACAGTGGTTACTCACGAGGCAACACTTACTATCCACAAGGTGACAGTGGTTACTCACGAGGCAACACGTATTATCCACCAGGTAACAGTGGTTACCCATGAGGCCACACTTATTATCCACCAGGTTACAGTGGTTTCCCATGAGGCAGTACTTATTATCCACCAGGTAACAGTGGTTACCCACAAGGCAATACTTACTATCCACCGGGTAACAGTGCTTACCCACGAGGCAATACTTACTATCCACTGGGTAACAGTGGTTACCCTGGAGGCAATACTTATTATCCACCAGGAGACAGTGGTTACCCTAGAGGCAATACTTATTTTCCACCAGGTAACCATGGTTACCCACAAGGCAATACTTATTATCCACTGGGTAACAGTGGTTGCCCATGAGGCAATACTTATAATCCACCAGTTAACAGTGGTTACCCACGGGGCAATACTTATTATCCACTAGGTAACAGTGGTTACCCACGAGGCAATAATTATTATCCAGTGGGCAACAGGGCTTACCCATGGGCAATACTTATTATCCAGCAGGTAACAGTGGTTACCCATGAGGCAATAATTATTATCCAGTGGGTAACAGTGGTTACCAATGAGGCAATACTTATCATTGAACGGGAAACAGTGGTTACCCTGGGGCAATAATTATTATCCACTGAGTAACTGTGGTTACCAATGAGGCAACACTTATTATCCACCGGGTAACAGTGGTTACTCACGAGGCAATATTTATTATCCACCGGGTCACAGTGATTACCCTAGAGGAAACATCTGTCATCCACCAGGTAACAGTGGTTACCCTAGAGGCAATAGTTATTATCTACCATATAACATTGGTTACACATGAGGCAATACTTATTTTACAATGGGTAACAGTGGTTACCCACGACATAAAACCTATTATCCAGAGGGTAACACTGGTTACCCACAAGACAACACTCATTATCCACCAGGTAACAGTGGTTACCCATGAAGCAACACTTATTATCCACCGGGTAACAGTGGTTACCCACGAGGCAATACTTCTTATCCACTGGATAACAGTGGTTACCCCAGAGGTCGTTCTTATTATCCACTGGGTAGCAATGATTACCCTAGGGGCAATACTTACTATCCCCTGGGTAACAGTTGTTAACCACGAGGCAACACTTATTATCCACCAGGTAACAGTGGTTACCCACGAGGCAATTCTTGTTATCCATAGGGTAAGAGTGGTAACCCACGAGGCAACATGTATTATCCACCAGTTAACAGTGGTTACCCATGAGGCAATACTTATTATCCATCGGGTAACACTGTTTTCCCACGAGGCAATGCTTATTATCCACATGGTAAGAGTGGTTACACACAAGGCAACACTTATTATCCAGTGGGTAAAACGGGTAACCCATGAGGCAACACTTATTTTCCAAGGGTAACAGTGGTTACCCATGAGGCAATACGTATTATCTGCCAGGTAACAGTGTTTATCCACGAGGGAATACTTATTATCCACTGGGTAACAGTGGTTACCCGAGAGGAAATAATTATTATGCACCGGATAACAGTGGTTACCCATGAGGGAATACTTATTATCCAGCGGGTAACAATGGTACCCACTGCGCAATACTTATTATCCCACGTTTAAAAGTGGTTACCCTACAGGCGATACTTATTTTCCACCAGGTAACAGTGATTACCCTAGAGGCAATAATTGTTATCCACTGGGTAACAGTTGTCACCCACGAGGCAATATGTATTACCCACCGGGAAACAGTGGTTATGCTAGAGGCAATATTTATGATCCACTGGGTAACAATGGTTACCCTAGAGGCAATAATTATTATCCACCGGTTAACACTGGTTACCCACAAGGCAACACTTATTATCCACCGGGTAACAGTGCTTATCCGCCAGGCAACGCTAATTATCCACCAGATAACAGTGGTTACCCTCAAGGCAACACTTATTATCCACCGGGTAACAGGGGTTTCCCGCAAGGCAACACTTATTATCCACCAGGTAACCGTGGTTTCCTACGAGGCAATACATATTACCCAATGGGTAACAGTGGTAACCCACGAGGCAATACGTATTATCCACAGGGTAACAGTGGTTACCTATGAGGCAATACTTATTATCAACTGGTTAACAGTGGTATCCCATGAAGCAATACTTACTATCCACTGGGTAAGAGTGGTAACCCATGAGGCAATACTAATTATCCACAAGGCAGCAGTGATTACCCATGAGGCAACACTTATCCGCTGGGTAACAGTGGTTACACACGAGGGAACACGTATTATCCACCGGGAAAAGGGGTTAACCACTAGGCAACATTTATTATCCACCGGGTAACACTGGTTACCCACGAGGCAACACTTATTATCCACTGGGTAACAGTGTTTACCCACGAGGTAATGCTTATTACCCACCGGGTAGCAGTGGTTACCCACGAGGCAATACCTATTATCCACAGGGTAACAGTGGTTACCCATGAGGCAATAATTATTTTCCACTTGGTAACAGTGGTTATCCATGAGGCAATACTTATTGTCCACTGGGTAACAGTGGTTACGCAGAAGGCAACACTTATTATACACCGGGTAACAGTGGTTACCCACAAGAAATACTTATTATCCACTTGGTAACAGTGGTTACCCACGAGGCAACACTTATGATGCATTGGGTAACAGTGGTTCCCCATGAGGCAACAATTATTATCCAGCAGGTAACAGTGATTACTCACGAGGCAACACTTATTATCCACTGGATAACAGTGGTTAACCAGGAGGCAACACTTATTATCCACCAGGTAATAGTGGTTACCCACGAGGCAATACTTATTATCCACTGGGTAACAGTGGCTACCCATGAGGCAATATTTATTATCCACCGAGTAACAGTGGTTACTGATGAGGCAGTACTTATTATCCACCAGGTAACAGTGGTTACCCATGAAGGAATACTTATTATCCACTGGGTAACAGTGGTTACCCATGAGCCAGTACTTATTATCCACCGGTTAACAGTGGTTACCCATGAGGCCATACTTATTATCCACAGGGTAACAGGTGTTACCCATGAGGCAATACTTATCCACCAGGTAACTGGTTACCCACAAATCAATACTTATTATCCAGCAGGTAACAGTGTTTACCCATGAGGCAATATTTATTTTCCAGCAGGTAACAGTGGTTACCCACAAGGCAATAATTATTATCCAGTGGGTAACAGTGGTTACCCATGAGGCAATACCTATTATCTAGCAGTTAACCGTGGTTACCCACAGGGCAATCATTATGATCCACTGAGTAACAGTGGTTACCAATGAGGCATCACTTATTATCCACAGGGTAACAGTGGTAACCCACAAGGCAATACTTATTATCCACTGGGTCACAGTGGTTACCCTAGAGGAAACATTTATTATCCAACAGGTAACAGTGGTTACCCTAGAGGTAATACTTATTATCCACTGTTTAACAGTGGTTACACACGAGGCAATACTTATTTTCCAATGAGTAATAGAGGTTACCCATGAGGCAATACTTATTATCCACTGGGTAACAGTGATTACCTTAGAGGCAATACTTATTATCCACAGGGTAACTGTGGTTACCCACGAGATAACAGATATTATGCAGCAGATAACAGTATTTACTAACGAGGCAACACTTATTATCCAGCGGGTAACAGTGGATACCCACAAAGCAATACTTGTTATCCACCGGATAACAGTGGTTACCCATGAGGCAACACGTATTATCCACCGGGTAACTGTGGTTACCCATGAGGCAACACTTATTATCCACCAGGTAACAGTGGTTACCCACGAGGCAACACTAATTATCCACTGGGTAACAGTGTTTACCCATGAAACAATACTTATTATCCACAGGGTAACAGTGGTTTCCCATGTGCCAATACTTATTATCCACGGGGTAATAGTGGTTACCAACGAGGCAACACTTATTGTGCACTGCGTAACAGTGGTCAACCACGAGACAACACCTATTATCCAGAGGGCAACAGTGGTTACCCATGAGGGAACACTTATTATCCAACAGGTAAATGTGGTTACCCACAAGGCAATGCTTATTGTCCACAGGGTAACTGTGGTTACCCGTGAGGCAATACTTATTATCCATCGGGTAACAGTGGTTACCCACAAGGCAACACTTATTAGACACAGGGTAACAGTGGTTCCCCTGAGGCAACACTTATTATCCACCAGGTAACAGTGGTTAGACATGAGGCAATACTTATTATACATCGGGTAACTGTGGTTACCCAAGAGGCAGTACTTATTATCCACCAGGTAACAGTGGTTACCTGGGAGACAATATTTATTCTCCACTGGGTAATCCACTGGGTTACTCTAGAGGCAACACTTATTATCCACCGCGTAACAGTGGTTACCCTAGAGGCAACACTTATTATCCACCGCGTAACAGTGGTTACCCTAGAGGCAACACTTATTATCTACCGCCTTAAAGTGGTTACCCTAGAGGCAACACTTATTATCCACCGGGCAACAGTGGTTACCCTAGAGGCAACAATTAATACCCACTGGGTAACAGTGGTTACCCATGACTCAACACTTATTATCCAATGGGTAACAGTGGTTACCCACGAGGCAACACTTATTTTCCACCGGTAACAGTGGTTACCAGTGAGGCAATATTTATTATCCACCAGGTAACAGTGGTTACCCACGAGGCATTACTTATTATCCACCGGGTAACCGTAGTTACCCACGAGGCAATAATTATTATCCAACGGATAACAGTGGTTACCCATCAGGCAAAAGTTAGTATCCAGCGGGTAATGGTGGTTACCCATGAGGCAATATTTATCATCTACCAGTTAACAGTGGTTTCCCACGAGGAAATACGTATTATCCACTGGGTAACAGTGGTTACCCAAGAGGCAACACTTATTATACACCAGGTAACAGTGGTTACCCACGAGGCAGTAGTGAGTATCCATTGGGTAACAATGGTTACCCACGAGGCAATACTAACTATCCACCAGGTAACAGTGGTTACTCACGAGGCAACACTTATTATCCACCGGGTAACAGTGGTTACCCATGAGGTAACACTTATTTTCCACAGGATAAGAATTCTTACCCACGAGGCAACACTTGTTATCCAGCGGGTAACACTGGTTACCAACGAGGCAACACTTATTATAAACTGGGTAACAGTGGTTACTCACGAGGCATTACTTATTATCCACCTGGTAACAGTGGTTACCCAAGAGGCAATACTTATTAACCACAGGGTAACAGTGATTACTCAAGAGGCAATACTTATTATCCACTGGGAAACAGTGGTTACCCACAAGGCAACACTTATTATCCACAGGGTAACAGTGGTTACCCACGAGGCAACACATTTTCCACTGGGAAGCACTGGTTACCCACGAGGCAACACATTATCCACCAGGTAACAGTGGTTACCCACAAGGCAACACTTATCCTCCACCGGGTAACAGTGGTTACCCACGAGGCAACACTTATCCTCCACTGGGTAACAGTGGTTACCCACGAGGCAACACTTATTCTCCACCGGGTAACAGTGGTTACCCACGAGGCAACACTTATCCTCCACTGGGTAACAGTGGTTACCCAGGTGGCAACACTTATTATCTACCGGGTAACAGTGGTTACACACAAGGCAACACTTATTATCCAGCGGGGAACAGTGGTTACCCACGAGGCAATACTTATTATCCACCAGGTACCATTGATTACTCAAGAGGCATTACTTATATTCTACCGGGTAAGAGTGGTTACCCTAGAGGCAATACTTATTATCCACAGGGTAACAGTGATAACCCTAGAGGCAATACTTATTACCCACTGGGTAACAGTGGTTACCCACGAGGCAACACTTATTATCCACAGTGCAACAGTGGTTACCCATGATGCAATACTTATTATCCACCAGGTAACAGTGGTTACCCATGAGGCCACACTTATTATCAACTGGGTAACAGTGGTTACCCTAGAAGCAATACCTATTATCCACCAGATAACAGTGTTTACCCATGCGGTACTACTTATTATCCAGTGGGTAGCAGTGATTACCCATGAGACAGTCCTTATTATCCTCCGGGTAACAGTGGTGACCCATGAGGCAATACTTAGGATCCACTGGGTACCAATGGTTGCCCACGAGGCAATACTTACTATCCACTGGGTAACACTGGTTTCCCACGAGGCAACACTTTTTATCCACCAGATAACAGTGGCTACGCACGAGATAACACTTATTTTCCACAGGGTAAGAATTGTTACCCACGACACAGCACTTATTATCAAGTGGGTAATACTGGTTACGCAAGAGGCAACACTTATTATAAACCGGGGAACAGTGGTTACTCACAAGGCAATACTTATTATCCACAGGGTAACAGTTGTTACCCACGAGGCAATACTTATTATCCACTGGGTAACAGTGATCACCCTAGAGGCAATACTTATTATCCACTGGGAAACAGTGGTTACCTACGAGGCAACACTTATTATCCACAGGATAACAGTGGTTACCCATGAGGCAATACTTACTATCCACCAGGTAACAGTGGTTACCCATGAGGCAATACTTATTATCCACTGGGTAACAGTGACTACCCATGAGGCAACACTTATTATTGACCAGGTAACAGTGGTTACCCTAGAAGCAATACCTATTATCCAACAGATAACAGTGGTTACCCATGCGGTAATACTTATTATCCAGTGGGTAGCAGTGGTTACCCATAAGACAATCCTTATTATCCTCCGGGTAACAGTGGTGACCAATGAGGCAATACTTAGTATCCACCGGGTACCAATGGTTACCCACGAGGCAATACTTACTATCCACCAGGTAACACTGGTTTCCCACGAGGCGACACTTAATATCCACCGGGTCACAGTGGTTACCCATGAGGCAACACTTATTATCCACAGGGTAAGAGTTGTTACCCACGAGGCAACACTTATTATCCAGCGGGTAACACTGGTTACCCACGAGGCAACACTTATTACAAACTGGATAACAGTGGTTTCCCACGAGGCAATACTTATTATGCAGCAGATTACAGTGGTTACCCATGAGGCAATACTTATTATCCGCCAGGTAAGAGTGGTTACCCATGAGGCAATACTTATTATCAACTGGGTAACACTGGTTTCCCATGAGGCAACACTTATTATCCATCGGGTAACCGTGCTTACCCACAAGGCAACACTTATTATCCACATGGTAACAGTGGTTACCAAGGAGGCAATACTTATTACGCATTGGGTAACAGTGGTTACCCACGAGGCAGTACTTTTTATCCACCGGGTAACAGTGGTTACCCTAGAGGCAACACTTATTATCCATTGGGTAACAGTGGTTACCCTAAAGGCAACACTTATTATGCACCGGGTAACACCGGTTACCCGTGAGGCAACTATTATTTTCCACTGGGTAACAGTGGTTAGCCACGAGGCAACACGTATTATCCACCGGTTAACAGTGGTTACCCACGAGGCAACATTTGATATCCAGCAGATAACAGTGGTTATCCACGAGGCAATACTTATTATCCACCCGGTAACAGTGGTTACCCACGAGGCAATACTTATTATCTACCGGGTAACAGTGGTTACCAATGACGTAATACTTATTATCCACCAGGTAAGAGTGGTTACCCACGAGGCAAAACTTAGTATCTGGTGGGTAATGGTGGTTATCCACGAGGCAATATTTATCATCCACCAGGTAACAGTGGTTACCCACGAGGAAATATTTATTATCCAATGCGTAACAGTGGTTACCAACAAGACAACACTTATTATCCACTGGGTAACAATGGTTACCCACAAAACGTCACTTATTATCCACAGGGTAACAGTGGTTACCCACGAGGCAACACTTATTATCCATGCATTAACAGTTGTTACCCAAGAGGCAATACTTACTACACTGGGTAACAGAGGTTACCCACGAGGAAATACTTATTATCCACCAGGTAACAGTGGTTACCCACAAGGAAACACTAATAATAAACCGGGTAAGAGTGGATACCCACAAGGCAACACTTATTATCCACCAGGTAACAGTGGTTACCCACGAGACAATACCTAGTATCCAGCGGGTAACAGTCATTACCCATGAGGCAATATTTATTATCTACTGGGTAACAGTGGTTACCAACGAGGCAACACTTATTATCCACTGTGTAACAGTGGTAAGCCAAGAGGCAACACTTATTATCCACCGGTTAACCGTGGTTACCCAGGAGGCAACACTTATTATACACTGGGTAACAGTGGTTTCAGACGAGGCAACACGTATTATCCAACGGGTAACAGTGGTTACCCAATAGGCAACATTTATTATCCAGTGGGTAACTGTGGTTACCCATGAGGCAATACTCATTATCCACTGGGTAACAGTGATTACCCATGAGGCAATAATTTTTATCCACTGGGTAACAATGGTTACCCACCAGACAATACATATTATCCACCGGTTAACAGTGGTTACCCTCGAGGCAACACTTATTATCCATTGGGTAACAGTGGTTACACTAGAGGCAACACTTATTATTCACCAGGTAACACCGGTTACCCACGAGGCAACAATTATTTTCCACTGGGTAACAGTGGTTACACGTGAGGCAACACTTATCCATCAGGTAACAGTGGTTACACGTGAGACAACACTTATTATCCAGGGGCTTACAGTGGCTACCCACGAGGCAACATTTATTGTCCTCTGGGTAACAGTGGTTACCAGTGAGGCAATACTTATTATCCACCAGGTAACAGCAGTTACTCATGAGACATTACTTATCATACACAGGGTAACCATGGTTACCCACGAGGCAATACTTATTATCCACCGGATAACAGTGGTTACCCATGATGCATTACTTATTATGCAGCAGGTAACAGTGTTTACCCATGAGGCAATACTTATTATCCACCGGGTAAGAGTGGTTACCCACGAGGCAATACTTATTATCCACTGGGTCACAGTGCTTTTCCACGAGAGAATACTTATTATCCAATGGGTAACAGTGGTTACCCATAAGTCGATACATATTATCCACCAGGTAACAGTGGTTACCCACGAGGCAACACTTATTATTGACCAGGTCACAGTGCTTACACACGAGGCATCTCTTATTATCCACAGGGTAACAGTGGTTACCCAGGATGCAATACTTATTATCCATTGGGTAACAGTGGTTACCCATGAGGCAGTACTTATTATCCACTGAGTAACAGCGGTTACCCGTGAGGCAATACTTATTATCCAATGGATAACAGTGGTTACCCTAGAGGCAACACTTATTATCCATCGGGTAACAGTGGTTACCCTAGAGGCAACACTTATTATCCACCAGGTACCAGTGGTTACCCATGAGGCAGCAAATATTATTCACCAGGTAAAGGTGGTTACCCACGAAGCAACACTTATTATCCACCGGGTAACAGTGGTTACCTGTGAGGCAACATGTATTATCCACCAGGTAACAGTGGTTACCCACGAAGCAATACTTATTATCCACTGGGTAACAGTGGTTACCCATGAGGCATTACTTATTCTCCATAGGGTAACTGTGGTTACCGAGGCAATACTTATTATCCACCGGGTAACAGTGGTTATCCACGAGGCAAAACTTAGTATCCGGCGGGTAATGGTGGTTACCCACAAGGCAATATTTATCATCCACCAGGTAACAGTGGATACCCACAAGGAAATACTTATAATCCACTGGGTAACAGTGGTTACCCAAGAGGCGATACTTAGTATCCACCGGCTAACAGTGGTTACCAACGAAGGAATACTTACTATCCACCTGGTAAGAGTGGTTACACACAAGGTAACACTTATTATGCACCTGTTAACAGTGGTTACCCATGAAGCAACACTTATTTTCCACAGGGTAAGAATTGTTACCCACGAGGCAACACTTATTATCCAGTGGGTAACACTGGTTACCCACGAGGAAACACTTATTATAAACCGGGTAACAGTGGTTACTCACGAGGCAATACTTATCCACCAGGTAACAGTGGTAACCCAAGAGGCAATACTCATTATCCACTGGGTAACAGTGATTACCCTAGAGGCAATACCTATTATACACTGGGAAACAGTGGTAACCCATAAGGCAACACTTGTTATCCACCAGATAACAGTGGTTACCCACGAGGCAACACTTATCATCCACCAGGTAACAATGGTTACCCATGAGGAACACTTATTATCCACTGGGTAACACTGGTTACGCAGGAGGCAACACTTATTATCCACCAGGTAACAGTGGTTACCCACGAGGCAACACTTATCCAGTGGGTAACAGTGGATACCCACAAGGCAATACTTATAATCCACCAGGTAACAGTGGTTACCCACGAGGCAACGCTTACTATCCACCGGGTAACAGTAGTTACCCACAAGGTAACATTTAGTATCCACTGGGTAACACTGGTTCCCCATGAGGCAACATTTATTATCCACCGGGTAACTGTGCTTACCAAAGGCAACACTTGTCATCCAGCGGGTAACAGTGGTTACCCACGAGGCAATACTTATTATCCACTGGGTAACAGTGGTTACCCTAGAGGCTACACTTATTATCCACCAGGTAACAGTGGTTACCCTAGAGGCAACACTTATTATCCATCAGGTAACCGTGGTTACCTACGAGGCAATACTTACTATCCACCGGGTAACAGGGCTTACCCATGAAGCAATACTTACTATCCACAGGGTAACAGTGGTTACCCACGAGGCAACACTTATTATCCATTAACATTACATGGTGGATAATATCCCTCTTATTACAGGGTAAGAGTTGGTACCCATGAGGCAGCACTTATTATCCAGCAGGTAACACTGGTTACCCACGAGGCAACACTTATTATAAACCAGGTATCAGTGGTTATGCATGAGGCGACACTTATTATTCACCGGGTAACAGTGGTTACCCACGAGACAATACTTATTTTCCACTGGGTAACAGTGGTAACCCTAGAGGCAATACTTATTATCCACCGGTAAACAGTGATTACCCTAGAGGCAATACTTATTATCCACTGGGTAACAGTGGTTACCCACGAGGCAACACTTATTATCCACAGGGCAAAAGTGGTTACCTATTAGGCAATACGTATTATCCACAGGGTAACAGTGGTTACTTATGAGGCAAGACGTATTATCCACCGGCTAACTGTGGTTACCCACCAGGCAACACTTATTATCCACCGGGTAACAGTGGTTCCCCATGAGACAACACTTATTACCTGCTGGGTAACAGTGGCTCCCCACGAGGCAACACTTATCATCCACTGGGTAACTGTGGTTACCAAAGGCAACACTTGTTATCCAGTGTGTAACAGTGGTTACCCATGAGGCAATACTTATTATCCACCAGGTAACAGTGGTTACCCAATAGGCAACACTTATTGTGCAGCAGGTAACAGTGATTACCCACGAAGCAATACTTATTATCCACTGGGTAATAGTGGTTACCCACGAGGCAATACTTATTATGCAGCAGGTAACAGTGGTTACACAAGAGGCAACACTTATTATCCACCAGGTAACAGTGCTTACCCACCCACGAGGCAACACTTATTTTCCACAGGGTAACCGTGGTTATCCACGAGGCAGTACTTATTATCCATCGGGTAACAGTGGTTACCCATGAGGCAGTACTTATTATCCACCTAGTAACAGTGGTTACCTGTGAGGCAATGCTTATTATCCACCGGGTAACAGTGGTTACCCTCGAGGCAACAAGTATTATCCACCAGGTAACAGTGGTTACCCTAGAGGCAACACTAATTATCCATCGGGTAACAGTCGTTATCTATGAGGCAGTACTTATTATCCACCTGGTTACAGTGGTTACCTGGGAGGCAATGCTTATTATCCACCGGGTAACAGTGGTTACCCTCAAGGCAACAAGTATTATCCACCAGGTAACAGTGGTTACCCTAGAGGCAACACTAATTATCCATTGGGTAACAGTGGTTACTCGCAAGGCAACAATTATTATCCAGCAGGTAACAGTGGATACATGCGATGCAACAATTATTATCCACCGGGTAACAGTGCTTACCCGTGAGGCAACACTTATTATCCACGGGGTAACATTGATTACCCACAAGGCAATACTTACTATCCTCTGGGTAACAGTGCTTTCCCACGAGGCAACACTTATTATCCACCAGGTAACAGTGGTTACCCACGAGGCAACACTTATTAAATACTGGGTAACAGTGGTTACCCACGAGGCAACACATTATACACAGGGCAACAGTTGTTACCCATGAGACAACACGTATTATCCACTGGGTAACCGTGGTTACCCACGAGGCAATACTTATTATCCACAGGGTAACTCTGGTTACCCGTGAGGCAATACTTATTATCCATTGGGTAACAGTGGTTACCCATGAGGCAACACTTATTAGACACAGGGTAACAGTGGTTACCCCCGAGGAAACACTTATTATCCAGCAGGTAACAGTGGTTTCCCATGAGGCAACACTTATCCATCAGGTAGCAGTGGTGACCCACGAGGCAACACTTATTATCCACCGGGTAACAGTGGTTAGACATGAGGCAATACTTATTGTCCATCGGGTAACTGTGGTTACCCACGAGGCAGTACTTACTATCCACCAGGTAACAGTGGTTACCTGCGAGGCAATACTTATTATCCAACGGGTAATAGTGGTTACTGAAGAGGCAACACTTATTCTCCACCGTGTAACAGTGGTTACCATAGAGGCAACACTTATTCTCCACCGTGTAACAGTGGTTACCTTAGAGGCAACACTTATTATCCACTGGGCAACTGTGGTTACCCACGAGGCAACAATTATTATCCACCAGGTAACAGTGGTTACCCGTGACTCAACACTTATTATCCACCATGTAAGAGTGGTTACCCACGAGGCAACACTTCTTATCCACCAGGTAACAGTGGTTACCCATGAGGCATGACTTATTATCCACTGGGTAACTGTGGTTACCCACGAGGCAATACTTATTATCTACCAGGTAACAGTGGTTACCCACCGGGCAAAATTTAGTATCCAGCAGGTAATGGTGTTTACCCATGAGGCAATATTTCTCATACACCAGGTAACAGTGGTTTCCCATGAGGAAATATATATTATCCACCGGGTAACAGTGGTTTCCCAAGAGGCAACACTTATTATCCACCGGGTAACAGTGGTTACCCATGAGGCAATACTTAGTATCAACTGGCTAACAATGGTGACCCACAAGGCAATACTAACTATCCACCGGGTAACAGTGGTTACCCACGAGGCAACACGTATTATCCACCAGGTAACAGTGGCTACACACGAGGTAACACTTATTTTCCACAGGGTAAGAATTGTGACCCACGACACAACACTTATTATCCAGCAGGTAATACTGGTTACCCAAGAGGCAACACTTATTATAAACCGGGTAACAGTGGTTACTCATGAGGCAATACTTATTATCCACAGGGTAACAGTGGTTACCCACGAGGCAATACTTATTATCCACTGGGTAACAGTGATTACCCTAGAGGCAATACTTATTATCCACTGGGAAACAGTGGTTACCCACGAGGCAACACTTATTATCCACCGGGTAACAGTGGTTACCCATGAGGCAATACTTATTATCCACTGGGTAACAGTGATTACCCATGAGGCAACACTTATTATCGACAGGGTAACAGTGGTTACCCTAGAAGCAATACCTATTATTGACTGGATAACAGTGGTTACCCATGCAGTACTACTTATTATCCAGCGGGTAGCAGTGGTTACCCATGAGACAGTCCTTATTATCCTCCGGGTAACAGTGAGGACCCATGAGGCAATACTAACTATCCACTGGTTTCCCACGAGGCAACACTTATTATCCACCAGGTAACAGTGGTTACCCATGACGCAACACTTATAATCCACAGAGTAAGAGTTGTGACCCACGAGGCAACATTTATTATCCAGTGGGTAACAGTGGTTACCCACGAGGCAACACTTATTACAAACCAGGCAACAGTGGTTACCCACGAGGCAATACTTATTATCCACCAGGTACCATTGATTACCCATGAGACAATGCTTATTTTCCCCCGGGGAACAGTGGTTACCCTAGAGGCAATACTTATTATCCACAGGGTAACAGTGATAACCCTAGAGGCAATACTTATTATCCACTGGGTAACAGTGGTTACCGACAAGGCAACACTTATTATCCAAAGGGCAACAGTGGTTACCCAGGAGGAAACAGGTATTATCCACCGGGTAACAGTGGTTAACCACGAGGCAACATGTATTATCCACCGGTTAACAGTGGTTACCCATGAGGCAACACTTATTATCCACCGGGTAACAGTGGTTAACCACGAGGCAATACCTATTATCCACCGGGTAACAGTGGTTAACCACGAGGCAACACTTATTATCCACCGGGTAACAGTGGTTACACATGAGGCAACACTTATTATCCACTGGGTAACAGTGGTTACCCTAGAAACAACACTTATTATCCACCGGGAAACAGTGGTTACCCGAGAGGCAATAGGTATTATTCCCTGGATAACAGTGGTTACCCACGAGGCAATATTTATTATCAACTGGGTAACAGTGGTTACTCATGAGGCCATACTTATTATTCACCGGATAACAGTGGTTACACACTAGGCAACACTTATTATCCACCGGGTAGGCAACACCTATTATCCAGAGGGTAACAGTGGTTAACCACGAGGCAACACTTATTATTGACTGGGTAACAGTGGCTACCCACGTGGCAATACTTATTATCCACCAGGTAACAGTGGTTAGCTGCAAGGCAATACTTATTATCCACGGGGTAACGGGTTACCCACAAGACAACACTTATTATTCACCAGTTAACAGTGGTTACCCATGAGGCAAGACTTATTATCCACCGGGGAAAAGTGCCTACCCACGAGGCAACATGTATTATCTACCAGGTAACAGTGGTTACCTGTGAGGCAACAACTATTATCCACCGTGTAACAGTGGTTACCCACGAGGCAACACTTATTATCCACCGGTTAATGGTAGTTACCCAGGAGGCAACACTTATTATCCACTGGGTAAGAGTGGTTACCCGCGAGGCAATAGTTATTATCCATCGGGTTACCATGGTAATCCACCAGGCAATGCTTATTATCCATCAGGTAACTGTGGTTACCCGCGAGGCAATACTTATTGTCCACCGGGTAACAGTGGTTATCCATGAGGCAATACTTATTATCCACCGGGTAACAGTGGTTACCCATGAGGAAATACTTATTATCCACTGGGTAATAGTCGTTACCCACGAGGCCACACTTATTATCCATCGGGTAAGCATGCCTACCCACGAGGCAACACTTATTATCCACATGGTAACAGTGGTTACCCAGGAGGCAATACTCATTATCCATTGGGTAACAGTGGTTACCCACGAAGCAGTACTTATTATCCACCAGGTAACAATGGTTACCCTAGAGGCAACACTTATTATCCATTGGGTAACAGTGGTTACCAGAGAGGCAACACTTATTATCCACAGGGTAACAGTGGTTACCAGCGATGCAATACTTATTATCCACCGGGTAACGGTGGTTACCAATGAGACATTACTTATTATACACAGGGTAACCGTGGTTACCCACGAGGCAATACTTATTATCCACCGGGTAACAGTGGTTACCAATGAGGCAATACTTATTAACCACTGGGTAAGAGTGGTTACCCACGAAGCAAAACTCAGTATCTGGTGGGTAATGGTGGCTACCCATGAGGCAATATTTATCATCCACCAGGTAACAGTGGTTACCCACGAGGCAATACTTATTATCCACCGGGTAACAGTAGCTACCCATGAGGCAACACTTATTATCCACCGGATAACAGTGGTTACCCACGAGGCAATACTTAGTATCCACCAGGTAAGAGTGGTTACCCACAAGGCAACACTTATTATCCACCTGGCAACAGTGGTTACCCACGAGGCAACACTTATTTTCCACAGGGTAACAGTGGTTACCCACGAGGCAGTACTTATCCATTGGGTAACAGTGGTTACCCACGAGGCAATACTTGGTATCCACCGGGTAAGAGTGGTTACCCACAAGGCAACACTTATTATCCACCAGGTAACAGTGCTTACCCACGAGGCAACACTTATTTTCCACAGGGTAACCGTGGTTATCCATGAGGCAGTACTTATTATCCATTGGGTAACAGTGGTTACCCACGAGGCAGTACTTATTATCCACCTGGTTACAGTGGTTACCTGGGAGGCAATGCTTATTATCCACCGGGTAACAGTGGTTACCCTCGAGGCAACAAGTATTATCCACCAAGTAACAGTGGTTACCCTAGAGGCAACAATTATTATCCAGTGGGTATCAGTGGATACACACGATGCAACAATTATTATCCACCGGGTAACAGTGCTTACCCACGAGGCAACACTTATCATCTACCAGGTAACATTGATTACCCACAAGGCAATACTTACTATCCTCTGAGTAACAGTGCTTTCCTGCGAGGCAACACTTATTATCTACCAGGTAACAGTGGTTACCCATGAGGCAACACTTATTATCCACATGGTAAGAGTTGTTACCCACGTGGCAACACTTATTATCCAGCAAGTAACACTGGTTACCCATGATGCAACACTTATTAAATACTGGGTAACAGTGGTTACCCACAAGGCAAAACTTTTATACACAGGGCAACAGTTGTTACCCATGAGGCAACACGTATTATCCACCGGGTAACCATGGTTACCCACGAGGCAATACTTATTATCCACAGGGTAACTCTGGTTACCCATGAGGCAATACTTATTATCCATTGGGTAACAGTGGTTACCCACGAGGCAACACTTATTAGACACAGGGTAACAGTGGTTACCCCCGAGGAAACACTTATTATCCAGCAGGTAACAGTGGTTTCCCTGAGGCAACATTTATCCACCAGGTAGCAGCGGTGACTCACGAGGCAACACTTATTATCCACTGGGTAACAGTGGTTAGACATGAGGCAATACTTATTATCCATTGGGTAACTGTGGTTACCCACGAGGCAGTACTTACTATCCACCAGGTAACAGTGGTTACCTGCAAGGCAATACTTATTATCCAATGGGTAATAGTGGTTACTGAAGAGGCAACACTTATTCTCCACCGTGTAACAGTGGTTACCCTAGAGGCAACACTTATTATCCACCGGGCAACTGTGGTTACCCACGAGGCAACAATTATTATCCACCAAGTAACAGTGGTTACCCGCAACTCAACACTTATTATCCACTGTGTAAGAGTGGTTAACCGCGAGGCAACACTTATCCACCGGGTAACACTGGTTACTCACGAGGCATGACTTATTATCCACTGGGTAACTGTGGTTACCCACGAGGCAATACTTATTATCTACCGGGTAACAGTGGTTACCCACCAGGCAAAACTTAGTATCCAGCCGGTAATGGTGTTCACCCATGAGGCAATATTTATCATCCACCAGGTAACAGTGGTTTCCCACGAGGAAATACATATTATCCACCAGGTAACAGTGGTTACCCAAGAGGCAACACTTATTATCCACCGGATAACAGTGGTTACCCACGAGGCAATACTTAGTATCAACGGGCTAACAATGGTGACCCACGAGGCAATACTAACTATCCACCAGGCAACAGTGGTTACCCATGAGGCAACACGTATTATCCACCAGGTAACAGTGGTTACACACGAGGTAACATTTATTTTCCACAGGGTAAGAATTGTCACCCACGATGCAACACTGATTATCCAGTGGGTAATACTGGTTACCCAAGAGGCAACACTTATTATAAACCGGGTAACAGTGGTTACTCACGAGGCAATACTTATTATCCACAGGGTAACAGTGGTTACCCACGAGGCAATACTTATTATCCACTGGGTAACCGTGATTACTCTAGAGGCAATACTGATTATCCACTGGGAAACAGTGGTTACCCACAAGGCAACACTTATTATCCACAGGATAACAGTGGTTACCCATGAGACAATACTTATTATCCACCGGGTAACAGTGGTTACCCATGAGGCAATACTTATTATCCACTGCATAACAGTGATTACCCACGAGGCAACACTTATTATCGACTGGGTAACAGTGGTTACCCTACAAGCAATACCTATTATCGACTGGATAATAGTGGTTACCCCTGTGGTACTACTTATTATCCAGCAGGTAGCAGTGGTTACCCATGAGACAGTCCTTATTACCCTCCGGGTAACAGTGGTGACCCATGATGCAATACTTACTATCCACCGAGTAACACTGGTTTCCCACGAGGCAACACTTATTATCCACCAGGTAACAGTGGTTACCCACAAGGAAATACTTATAATAAACCAGGTAACAGTGGTTCCCCATGAGGCAACACTTATTATCCAAAGGGTAACAGTGGTTACCCTAGAGGCAACACTTATTATCCACCAAGGAACAGTGGTTACCCTAGAGGCAACACATTATCTCCCAGGTAAAACTGGTTACCCACGAGGCAATACTTATTATCCACCGGGTAACAGTGGTTACCCATGAGGCAACACTAAGTATCCACTGGGTAACAGTAGTTACCCACAAGGTAACACTTATTATCCACTGGGTAACACTGGTTCCCCATGAGGCAACATTTATTATCCACCAGGTAACTGTGCTTACCAAAGGCAACACTTGTTATCCAGCAGGTAACAGTGGTTACCCATGAGGCAATACGTATTATCCACCGGGTAACTGTGATTACCCACAAGGCAATACTTATTATCCACCAGGTAACAGTGGTTACCCTAGAGACAATACTTATTATCCACCAGATAACAGTGGCTACCCATGAGGTAATACTTATTATTCAGTGCATAACAGTGGTTACCCACGAGGCAGACCTTATTATCCTCCTGGTAACAGTGGTTACCCATGAGGCAATACTTAGTATCCACCTGGTAACAATGGTTACCCACGAGGCAACACTTATTATCCACCAGGTAACAGTGGTTTCCCATGAGGCAACACTTATTATAAACCGGGTAACATTGGTTATGCACGAGGCAACACTTATTATCCACCAGGTAACAGTGGTTACCCATGAGGCAATACTTGTTTTCCACTGCGTAACAGTGGTAACCCTAGAGGCAATACTTATTATCCACTGGTTAACAGTGATTACCCTAGGGGCAATACTTATTATCCACTGGGCAAAGTGGTTACCCATTAGGTAACATGTATTATCCACAGGGTAACAATGGTTACACATGAGGCAACATGTATTATCCACCAGCTAACTGTGGTTACCCACGAGGCAACACTTATTATCCACCGGGTAACAGTGGTTACCGACGAGGCAATACTTATTATCCACCGGGTAACAGTGGTTACCCATGAGGCAACACATTATCCACCGGGTAACTGTGGTTACCCACGGGGCAACACTTATTATCCACCGGGTAACTGTGGTTACCAAAGGCAACAGTTGTTATCCAGTGGGTAACAGTGGTTACGCACGAGGCAATACTTATTATCCACCAGGTAACAGTGGTTACCCATAGGCAATACTTATTATGCAGCAGGTAACAGTGGTCACCCACGAGGCAATACTTATTATCCACCAGGTAAGAGTGGTTACCCACAAGTCAATACTTATTATCCACCAGGTAACAGTGGTTTCCCACGAGGCTGTACTTATTATCCAGTGGGTAACAGCAGTTACCCACGAGGCAATACTTATTATCCACTGGGTAAGAGTGGTTTCTCACAAGGCAACACTTATTATCCCTGGGAAACAGTGCTTACCCACAAGGCAACACTTATCTTCCACAGGGTAACAGCTGTTACCCACGAGGCAATATTTATTATCCACTGGGTAACAGTGGTTACCCACGAGGCAGTACTTATTATCCACTGGGTTACAGTGGTTACCTGTGAGGCAATGCTTATTATCCACTGGGTAACAGTGGTTACCCTAGAGGCAACAATTATTATCCACCAGGTAACAGTGGGTACCCTAGAGGCAACACTAATTATCCACCGGGTAACAGTGGTTACCCGTGAGGCAACAATTATTATCCAGCAGGTAACAGTGGATACCCACAATGCAACAATTATTATCCACCAGGTAACAGTGGTTACCCGCGAGGCAACACTTATTATCCACTGGGTAACAGTGGTTACCAATGAGGCAATACTTATTATCCACCGAGTAACAGTGGTTACCCACAAGGCATTACTTATTCTCCACCAGGTAACTGTGGTTACCCACGAGGCAATATTTATTATCCACCGGGTAACAGCGGTTACCCACAAGGCAATACTTAGTATCCGGTGGGTAATGGTGGTTACCCATGAGGAAATATTTATCATCCACCAGGTAACAGTGGTTATCCACAAGGAAATACTTATTATTTACCAGGTAACAGTGGTTACCCAAGAGGCAACACTTATTATCCACCAGGTAACAGTGGTTACCCACAAGGCAATACTTAGTGTCCACCGGGTAACAATGGTTACCCACGAGGCAATACTTACTATCCATCATGTAACAGTGGTTACCCACGAGGCAACACTTATTGTCCACTGGGTAACAGTGGTTACCCACGAAGCAACACTTATTTTCCACAGGGTAAGAATTGTTACCCACGAGGCAACACTTATTATCTAGCAGGTAACACTGGTTACCCAAGAGTCAACACTTATTATAAACCGGGTAACAGTGGTTACCCACAAGGCAATACTTATTATCCACCAGGTAACAGTAGTTAACTGCGAGGCAATACTTATTTTCCAGCAGGTATCAGTAGTTACCTATGAGGCAATACTTATTATCCAGCAGATAACAGTAGTTACCTATGAGGCAATTCTTATTATCCACCAGGTAGCAGTAGTTACCTATGAGGCAATACTGTTATCCACCACGTAATGGTAGTTACCTAGGAGACGAGGCAATACTTATTATCCACCAGGTAATAGTAGTTACCTAGGAGAAGAGGCAATACTTATTATCCACCAGGTATTAGCAGTTACCCTTGGAGACGAGGCAATACTTATTAACCACCAGATAATATTAGTTACCTAGGAGAGGAGGCAATACTTATTATCCACCAGTTAATAGGAGTTACCTAGGAGACGAGGCAATACTTATTATCCTCCAGGTAACAGTAGTTACCTAGGAGACGAGGAAATACTTATCATCCACTGGGTAATAGGAGTTAACTAGGAGACGAGGCAATACTTATCATCCCCCAGGTAATAGGAGTTACCCAAGAGACGAGGCAATACTTGCCATCCACCAGGTAATAGGAGTTACCTAGGAGACAAGGCAATACTTATCATCCACCAGGTAATAGGAGTTACCTAGGAGACGAGGCAATACTTATCATCCACCAAGTTACAGGAGTTACCTGGGAGACGAGGCAATACTTATCATCCACCAGGTAATAGGAGTTACCTAGGAGACGAGGCAATACTTATCATCCACCAGGTAATGGAATTTACCTAGGAGACGAGGCAATACTTATCATCCACCAGGTAATAGGTGTTACCTAGGAGATGAGGAAATACTTATCATCCGTCAGGTAATAGGAGTTACCTAGGAGATGAGGCAATACTTATCACCCACCAGGTAATAGGTGTTACCTAGGAGACGAGGCAATACTTATCATCCACCAGGAAATAGGAGTTACCTAGGAGACGAGGCAATACTTATCATCCACCAGGTAATAGGAGTTACCTAGGAGACGAGGCAATACTTATCATCCACCAGGTAATAGTAGTTACCTAGGAGACAAGGCAATAATTATTATCCACTAGATAATAGTAGTTACCTATGAGACAAGACAATAATTATTATCCACTAGGTAATAATAGTTACCTATGAGACAATAATTATTATATACGGTTCCGTATTATATATGAGAGAATTATTATATATGATTCTGTAATTATATATGAGATAATTATATGATTCTGTAATTGTATATGAGATAATTATGATTCTGTAATTATATATTAGATTATTATATATGATTCTGTAATTATATATTAGATAATTATGTTTCTATAATTATATATGAGATAATTATATGTGATTCTGTAATTATATGAGATAATTATTATATATGATTCTGTAATTATATGAGATAATTATTATACATTATTCTGTAATTATATATGAGATACTTATATATGATTCTTTAATTATATATGAGATAATTATATGTGATTCTGTAATTATTATATATGAGATAATTATTACATATGATTCTGTAATTATTATATATGAGAAAATTATTATATATGAATCTATAATTTATATATGAGATAATTATTATATATGAATCTGTAATTTATATATGAGATAATTATTATAAATGATATAATCTATAATTTGTATATGAGATAATTATCATATGTGGTATAATCTATAATTTACATATGGGATAATATATGTTATATATAATCTATAATTTATATATTATTTATAATATATATTATATATTATAATTACATTTATTGATATGTTCAATAGTGTATAATATATAATATATAGCATAATATATATTGTATATAACATATTATATATAGTATATGTTATAGATAACATATATATAGTATAATATATATTATATATAGTATATGTTATAGATAACATATATATAGTATAATATATATTATATATAACATATATTGTATATAGTATAATATATAATCTATAACATATATTGTATATAGTATTATATATTATATATAATGTATATAGTATAATATATTATAAATAATGTATATTATATATAGTATATGTTATGTATAATATATATAATTATATATATTATAATATATGTTATATATAATAAAATATAGAATATATATTATAATATATATAATATAATATATATTATATAGTATAACATATATTATATATAATATAATACATTAGATACATTATATATTATATATAACAGAATATATAATATATAATATTATATATAATTATATAATATATATAAATATATTATATATAATTATATAATATATATAAATATAATATATAATTATATATAATATATATAATTGTATATTATATATTTTATATTATATATATAATTATATATTATATATAATTATATAATATATAATCATATATCACATGTTATATAATTATAATATATAATCACATATATATTATATATTATAATTATATATAATATATAATTATAATATATAATATATAAAGAATTATAAATATATATAATCTATAATTATAATATATAATTATTTATAATATATAATTATATATAATTATAAATAATATATAATATATAATTATATATAATTATAAATAATATATATAATATATAATTATAATATATAATTATATATAATTATAAATAATATATATTATATATAATTATAATATATAATATATAATTTATATACTATATAATAAATATTTAATTTATATAAATTTTATATTATATATAATATAAATATATACATAAATTTAAAAAGAACAAAATTACATCTTTTGCAGCAACACGGATGGAACTGGAGGGTATTATCCTAAGTGACATAACTCAGGAATGAAAACCAAATACCACATATTCTCACTTATAAGTGGGATTTAAGCTATGAGTACCCAAAATCATACAGAGTGGTATAATGGATTTTGAAGACTCAGAAAGAGGGAGCATGGGAAGGGAAATGGGATGAAAAATTACTTATTGGGTAAAATGTATGCTATTTGAGTGACAGGTACACTAAAACTCCAGAGTTCACCATTATACAATTCATCCACATAACCAAAAATCACTTGTGCCCCTAAAGTTATTTAAATATAAATAAGTAAATAGCAAAACAAAAAACAACAGTGTGACATTGATAGATTAAAACTTGTACAGATGGCAACTTGAAATGTTCAAGTGGCAGCATCAACCTGTTCGAAATGATGGACTATTTGGCAAATTATTTGGTATACGATATGTGGAAACTGAATCATTTCATGGAGAACTATATTATATTTTCCCATTTGAAAAGGTTTTTAATTCTTTTTACTTTTAATACATTTTTGAATTATAGAAAAGTTTCAAAATAGTATAGAGGATTCTCATATATCCTTCAGCCAGCATCAGTAAATAACATCTTGCATAATAATCAAATGTTCAGAATTAAGAAATTAACATTGGTACACTAGTAACTATCAGTGAAATTACAGACTTTTTTTGGATTTTACTAGTTTTTCCGTTAATGTCCTTCTTCTATTTCAGGACCCAATCCAGGATCTCAAATTGCATTTAGTCATCATGTCTCCTTAGCTGGGGACAGTTGCTTAGTCTTACATGGTTTTTCATGATTGTGACACTTTAGAAAAATATTATTTTGTAGAACGTCACTCAATTTTTTTCTATGCAAAATTTTCTCATAATTACATTGAAGTTATACATTGCTTTCAAGAATACCATAGACGTGATGTGCCCTTCTCAGTACAGCATTTGTGTCTTATTAGAAATGATTAACTATTTGGCAGATTATTTGGTAAATGAAGGAATGAGGAAAATGGGTCATTTCATGTATAACTATTTTTGTTTCAATTTGAGAAGACTTTTAATTGTTTTGACTTTTAAATGAGTTTTTGAATTATAGAAAAGGCTGGCAGATTATTGCCAACCAAGATATGTCTTCTTACTGGTTATGTTAACCCATCATCACTTGGGTAAGCAGATGTTCATTGATTTTCTGCACTCTAATGTTACTATTTTTAACTTTGAAATTATAAATATATTGGTGGAAATAAACTTGTTTTTCTTCAAACTTTTCCTCACTGATTTTAGTATTCATTAGCACATATTGAGTACAGCAATTATTACTGAAGAGTTCTAATGCTCACTTTGTATTTCCTTCACTTTTGCCATATTTGTTAGTTGGAATTCTTCTGTGAGGAACAGCTGTTTATTTTACCCCATTTATTTATGCTATTATTTACTTGTATAGATATGAACTCATAGATTTTTTTTAATTCCATGGGTTATATTCTGATATGGTTTGGATCTGTGTCCCTGCCCAAATCTCATGTTGAATTCTAATCCCCAGTGTTGGAGCTGGGGCCTGGTAGGACGTAATTGGATCACGGGGGCAGAGTTCTTATAAATGGTTTAGCACCATCCCCCACTGGTACTGTATAGTGAGTGAGTTCTCACAAGATCTTGTTGTTTAAAAATGTGTAGCCCCTCCCGCAAACTCATGCTCCTGCTCTGGCCATGTAAGACACCTGCTCCCACTTTGCCTTCTGCCATGAGTAAAAGCTCCCTGAGGCCTTCCCAGAAGCAGAAGCTACCATGCTCCCTGTATAGCCTGTGGAACCATAAGCCAATTAAATCTCTTTTCTTTATAAATTACCCAGTCTCAAATATTTTTATAGCAGCGTGAGAACAGACTAATACAGAAAATTAGCACTGGGGAGTGGAACACTGCCATAAATATACCTGAAAATGTCAAAGCAACTTTAACTGGATAACAGGCAGAGGGTGGAGGGCCCAGAAGAAGACAAGAATATAAGAGAAACTTTGGAACTTCCTAGAGACTTGTTAAATTGTTGCCACCAAAATACTGGTAGTGATATGGACAATGAAGTCCAGTCTGAGGAGGTCTCAGAAGGAGATGAGGAACTTACTGGGAATCGGAGTAAAGGTCAGTTTTGTTATGGTTTAGTGAAGAACTTGGAGGCACTGTACCCCTGTCCAAGGGATCTGTGGAACTTTGACCTTGAAAGTGATGATTTAAGGTATCTGGGGGAAGAAATTTCTAAGCAGCAAAGTGTTCAAGAAGCAGCCTGGCTACTTTAACAACCTATGCTCGTATGCATGTGCAAAAAAAAGATGTAAAACTGGAAATTATACTAAAAAGGAAGCAAAGTATAAAAGTTTGGAAAATTTGCAGCCTGGCCATATGGTAAAAAGAAATGGTCATTTTCAGTGGAGGAATTCAGGAAGGCTGCAGAAATTTGCATAAGTAAAAAGGAGCCAAATGCAAAAAGAGTGCAAGCCATAAGCCTTGGTAGCTTCCACAGGGTGTTAAGCCTGCAGGTGGAGACAATGGGGAGAAGGCCTCAAAGGCATTTCAGAGAACTTTGTGGAAGCCTCTCCCATCACAGACCTGCAGGCCTAGAAGGGAAGAATGGTTTTGTGAGCCAGGCCCGGGGCCCTGTCACCCTGCACAGCCTCAAAACACTGGTCCCTGCATCCCAGCTGCTCCAGCTCCAGCCATGGCTCAAAGAGGCCCAGGTACAGCTCAAGCCATTGCTTTAGAGAGTGCAAGCCATAAGCCTTGGTGGCTTCCACAGGCTATTAAGCCTGCAGGTGCACAGAGTGCAAGAGTTGAGGCTTGAGAGACTCTACTTAGATTTCAGAGGATGTATGGAAAAGCCTATATGTCCAGGCAGAAGTCTGCTGCAGGAGTGGAACCCTCTAGATAACCTCTACTAGGGCAGTGTGGAGGGACAATGTGGGGCTGGAGCCCCCACACAGAGTCCCCACTGGGGCACTGCCTAGTGGAGCTGTGAGAAAAGGGCCACCATCCTCCAGACCCCAGAATGGTAGATACACTGGCAGCTTGCACTCTGCACCTGGAAAAACCAAAGGCACTCAACACAAAGCCACAGGGGCAGAGCTGCCCAGGTCCTTGGGAGCCCACCCCTTGCGTTAGTGTGCCCTGGATGTGAGACATGGGGTCAAAGGAGATTATTTTGGAGCTCTGAAGTTTAGTGACTGCTCTTCTGAGTTTTGAACTTGCATGAAGCCTGTAGCTGCTTTCTTTCTGCCAATTTTTCCCTTTTAGAATGTAAAAGGGAATTTTTTTACATTTACCCAATGCCTATAGTCCCATTGTATCTTGGAAGTAACTAACTTGATTTTGATTTTACAGGCTCATAGGTGGAAGGGACTTACCTTGTCTCAAATGAGACTTTGGACTTCAGACTTTTGAGTTAATGCTGAAATTCACTAAGACTTTGAGGGACTGTTGGGAAGGCATGATTGTATTTTGAAATGTGAGAACAATGATTGTATTTTGAAATGTGAGTGTAGATTAATATATATTCCAAAACAATTGTTATTTATTTTGTGGCTCAAATTGTTGCAACTTTGGTCATCAGGAGCTCTTTCAGGTTAGCTTCTGGGCCATTTTGACATGTACCTCCATTTTTTAAAAGGCATTTCCTAGCACCCCGAGATGCTCCAGGCTCATTTCATATCCCCTGACAAAGTGATGGAATCAACCAGCCACTTCTCCAAGAAATTCTGGCTCCCTTTACTGGAGAATTAAGAAACCAAGGTCTAGGCACTAGGTGTCATTGCTTCTAGGGCTTCTCTATGGACAGAGCTTGAAAATATACATCTGTGTGCATGAACCCATGTATGCATAAAAATGCATATTTATCCATCAAAAAACTGAGTGCATACTGATTATTCTAATTCCAACTGAATATCACAAGGTTAATTTTAATATACCCATTACATTTTCTTGTTTATAGTTTCTTTCTCCGAAAATATTTTCTATCTGATTCTTTACAGAAAAAGTTTGTCCACCCCTGGTTAATATCATTCAGATTTCAGATCACTGTTCATATATTTGAATTTAAGAATATATTGACAGTTTGCTATGTTCCACTTCTTTTTTTCCTCCTTTTCCTTCTATTGGGCTAATCAAACATTTTTTATTATTTCATTTAATCTTCATTGTTGATTTATTATGTATACCACTTTTTAAAAGAAATATTTAGTGGTTATACCAGGGTTACAATATTTTTCTTAATTAATCAGAGTCTATCCTTCAAGTAATATTATCCCAATTCACACATGGTATAAAGACTTCAAGATAGTTTTTCCAACTTCCTAGTTTTCATTCTTTGTGCTTATGTTGTTATACATATACACTATAAACACACAGTGTTAGAGATCAAAATGAAAGGAATCTTGGATTCAGCCCTGTTTCAAAGCTCATCAGATGACCTGCACAAATCATTCAAACTTTCTTTTGTACTCTTGGTTCTTTAAGTCAAGCATATCTATTGTGCCTACCTCATAAACAGACTCCAGGTTAACATTAGATTTCAAAATCTATGTGACCAAACCAAATTAAAATCTATAAATCTATATGTCTCAGAGTAGACTGTGAACTTGGGTGGTTGCTGGCATCAGTCCTCTAAGGAACAGCCAAACCAAACCCACTGCAAATACTTTTTTCTTATTATAGGCTCCTCAGTGAAAAATTTAACAATCCTACACCCAGTTTTATAATGTTAAAACAGCTTTTCCAAAGGTCATCAAGTAAAGACATAAAGAAGTATTGTTAAGGTGAATTTGGTAGAACAGGATCAAAGATGTTGGAAGAATTTCAAGATCTGAAACAAGTAGACCAGTTGTGAAACTGGTCTTGATTCCATCTTTTTAAAAACATAAGACTGGAAAGATTGATGGGCATGCTTAAATAAGATGGAAAGATGATGGGCATGCCCTCCTGTGTAGGGCAGCAGTAATCAACCCATGGACGGAGCCACAGGGCCAGCAGCTACTGCTTCCTGTGGGCACTGGTGCAGCTGTCTGGGTGCCTGCTCTTTCCAGCACTGTTTTCATCAGATCAAGAATACAAATCCCAGATGGATTCAAACCCATGACTACAAGCTGTCACTCTGTTAGTCTCAGATGCAATTAATATTATTGTCTTCCCTATGTTATATTTGAAGTTCTTTTAGTTCAATTCAGCAAATTGTATTGAAACCTACTATGTATGAGATAATACGCACTTGAATCCTGCCAACTGGGTCTTGATGATAACGCTAGATGGAAACTAGAAAGTTTGACTTTCTGTTGATGATTACTCTCAATCATTCAAACTTGTGGCTCTTTTTCTCATCAGTTATTTATTGTAACTATAATATTTATCAAATTGTATTAACTAAATACAATTATTTATCAAACACTCTTTTTCTCATCAGTTATTTATTGTAACTAGAATTAGACTTATAAAACTTCAGGAATTTGAAATCATATAACCTACTATGCAGAGCACTTCATTTCTCCTTCCTACCTCTGCTTGAGCTAATAACTACAGTTTGTGATCCAGGCCCCTCCTTAAGGTGGAGCTGACGTGGCTGACACTTCTGTCTTAGCTGAAACAAGCAGAAGGTTGTGAATCCATGCTAAAGGTAAACAAACTGCAACTTATATCTGCAATTTATTTTGGTATAGACAAGAGGTATGCCAGTAGCACACTGGTGGCTTCAGAAGAAATTCTCAACACCTAGCTCGCCAGAGAGTCTATGTATGGGATTGAACAATCTGTAAACTAAAGGTATGAAAAAATTTGTAAAATTGGGAAGGTGAGGGAAAGGTGTGACATTTATTTTTGGGTGCAGAAACATCTAATGCCCATGTATAAACTAGGGATCTGGGGTGAAAGGTGCTTCTAGGGGAGGGTAAATTTTGAGGGATGGAAAGTTTTAGAAAGGCAGCATTCAAGCAATCTGATGTTAAAGTTTAAAGTTCCAAGTTAAAAGAGAACTTGGAATTCCGGTGCAAAGAGAAATGTTAAGATGAATCATGGAAAAATACTGATAAAGCCTGAAATTTTTTTAAGTAAGAAATGTTTTAAAATAATTCTTTTCAAGCTTGAGGGGGTGCTAGAAAGCCTGCTAAAACAGAAAAGGAGGACATATTAATAGATTGGCATTAATGAAACAGAAAAACTAATTTGCATTCAACAGGCACTGTAATGATGTGGTTCTCAGTGTTAATATTTGCTGGAGTATTTTGTGTCTGCCCTTGAGTTTAAGGGAATAGAACAGGGAACCTGATAGGTGACAAATAGTCTGGAGACTTCATCTAGACACGAGCAAGCTTGCATCCTTCAGGCCCTTAAGCTGCTCGATTTCTTAAAGATCACAGTGGGCTCCATGAATTATCTGTTCTGTAGAATGTACAAGCAGATAGCTAAAAGAGAGCACCTGGGAGATACCAAGTACAGCTTGCGGGGGTGAAGGTTTATTTCTGGGAGTTATTTATCTGAGGCTAAAAAGTAATCATGAGCCAAAAAAATTTCAAATGTTTCCCATGTTTGTTTGCTTTTCTGTTTTGTTGTATGTTTTTGTGCTTGTTTTTGTATTGTCTCTTGTAGGATCCTAATCATGAAAATAAGTATGATAAATTATAAGTCACTATTGGCACTGTTGTTTATATTAGCCTCCTGGATCATTTTTACAGTTTTCCAGAACTCCACAAAGGTAGGAAATGCTTTATTTATGTGGTTTACAGAAGCTTATTTTTGCTTATTACCTCATCTGTTCTAGGAAAGGCTAAACTACAAGACTTGTAGATTATAGGAGGGGAGTTTGAATAGCTAGATACCAAACAACATACCTGATAATCATTAAGCAATATGTGAGAGGATAAATACTGTGTGTGTGTTCACACATACACATTCTTTCTTTGTCACAAATAAATGCATTGCACCTATCTTCTTCAATGCTTAGCTCATCTTTTTACTTTCTTTAAGGGAACATCTGAAGAACAGAATATCTATATTTTTGGTTTTCATTTGTTTGTTTTTAATTTTTAATTTTTGTGGGTACAAAGTAGGTGTATGTATTTATGGGGTAGATGAGATATTTTGATACAAGCATATAATACATAGTAATCATATCAGGGTAAATGGGGTATTCATTGCCTCAAGAATTTATCCTTTCTTGTGCTACAAACAAGACAATTATACTCTTTTAGCTATTTTTAAATGTAAAATAAATTATTGGTGATTGTAGTTACCCTGTTATACTATCAAATGCTAGATCTTATTCATTCTGTCTAATCATATTTTTGTACTCATTAACTAACCCCACTTCTCCTCCATGCCCCCACCACCCTTCCCAGCCTCTGGTAGCCATCATTCTACTCTCTAACTCCATGACTTCAATTATTTTAAGTATTAACTTCCACAAATAAAAACGAACATGCAAAGTTTGTCTTCTGTGCCTAGCTTATTTCACTTAACATAATGACCTTCAGTTCCATCCATGTTGTTGCAAATGACAGAATCTTGTTCTTTTTATAACTGAATACTACTCCGTTGTGTATATATACCATATTTTCTTTATGTATTTGTCTGTTGATGGACACTTAGGTTGCTTACAAATCTTGGCTATTGTTATCAGTGCTGCAATAAACATGGGAGTTCAGATAGCTCTTGGATATACTGATTTCCTTTATTTTGGGTATATACCTAGCAGTGGGATTGCTGGATCATATGGTAGCCTATTTTTAGTTTTTTGAGAAACCTCCAAACTGTTCTCTATAGTGGTTGTACTAATTACATTCCCACCAACAGTGTACAAGTGTTCCCTTTTCTCCACATCCTCACTAGCATATGTTACTATCTGTCTTTTGGATAAAAGCCATTTTAACAGGAGTGAGATTATATTACACTGTAGTTTTGATTTGTGTTTCTCTGATGATCAATGATGTTGAGCACCTTTTCATATACTTGTTTGCCATTTGCATATCTTCTAGTAAGTGTCTATTCAGATCTTTTGCCCAATTTTTAATTGGATTGTTAAATATTTTTGCTATAGAGTTGGTTGAGTTCCTTGAATACTCTGGATAGTAATCCCCTGTCAGATGGATAGTTTGCAAACATTTTCTCCCATTCTGTAGGTTAACTCTTCACTCACTTGATTGCTTCCTTTGCTGTGAAGAAGTTTTTAGTTTTATATAATCCCATTTGTCTATCTTTGCTTTTCTTCTCTGTGCATTTGAGGTCTTATCCAAAAATCCTCTGGCTACATCAGTGTCCTGAACAGTATTCCCTAGGTTTTCTTCTAGTATTTTCATACTTTGGGTCATGCATATCAGTCTTTAATTCATTTTGTAACTGAGTTTTGTATATGGTGAGAGAAAATGGTCTAATTTCATTCTTTTGCATATGGATATTCAGTTTCTCCAGCACCATCTATTTTAAATACTTTTGTTCCCCCATTGTATGTTTTTGATGACTTTGTCAAAAATCCAGATGGCTGTAAATATGTGGATTCATTTCTGTGTTCTCTATTCTGTTCCATTGGTGTATGTGACTATATTTATGCCAGTATAACACTGTTTACTATAACTTTGTAGTATATTTTGAAGTCAGGTAATATACTGCCTTCAGCTTTGTTCTTTTTGCTCAGAATTGCTTTGGCTATTCTGGATCTTCTTTGTTTCCTTACAGATTTTAGAATTGTTTTTCTATTTCGATGAAGAATATTATTGGTATTTTGATAGGGTTTGCCTTGAATCTGTAGATTGCTTTTAGTAGTCTGAACATTTTAACATTTATTCTTCTAACCCATTAACATGGAATATCTATTTTGTGTGTGTGTGTGTGAGTGTGTGTGTGTGTGTTCTCCAATTTCTTGCATCAATGTTTTGTAGTTTTCATTGTAGAGATCTTTCACCTCTTTAGATCAATTTATTCCTAGGGTTTTTGTAGCTACTGTAAATGAAATTGCTTTTTTGATATTTTTTCAGGTTGTTTGGTATTGGTGTATAGAAATGTTACTGATGTTTTTATGTTGATTTTGTATCCTGCAACTTTACTGAGTTTTTAAAATCAGTTCTGACAGTTTTTCACTGAAGTCTATGGAGTGTTCTAAATATAAGTTTATGTGGTCTGCAAACAGGGACAATTTAATTTCCTTCTTTCCAACTTGTATGCCCTTTATTTATTTCTCTGACTTAATTGCTCTGGCTAGGACTTCCAATACTATGTTGAATAAAACTGGAAAAAGTGTTCAAAAATATCTTGTTCCAGATCTCAGAAGGCTTTTGACTTTTTCACATTGAATGTGATGTTAGCTGTGGATTTGTTATACATGTTTTTTATTGTTTTGAGGTACATTTCTTCCATGCCTAATTTGTTGAGATATTTTTATCTGAAGCAAAGTTGAATGTTATCAAGTGTCTTTTCTATTGAGATGATTATATGATTTTTGTTGAATGAGAAGGGGCCACCTGACAAATGGACTTTCAAAAAATTAGGGACATAATATACCCTGGTCAATATCTCAGATAATCCTTGCATCAAGGGCTGTCAGTCCAGACATCTCCTGTTCACCTACAGATTTGTAGGCCACTACTTTTAGCAAACATCATACAGGGGCCTGGAATTCCATGAGGGGGCATGGAATTTATTGTTTTGAGGTATATTTGGTGAAGGATTTTAAGGACTTTCCATTGGCTGGAGGCTGGAAAGTACAGCTTGCCATATTCTGACTGTAGTCATCCTGAGGGCTGGAAAGTATACCCTCGAGAAATGGCCCATTCTATTTTTGCAGGGGAGTACTGAGGCTTAATTTCTTTTATGAAGCCTTCCCAGGTTAGAGGGGCTTCAAGTTGATGTCATGAGGCTTTCTTGCTGCTGACTTGGCTGCCTGATCTGCTAACTTGTTTCCTTCAGCTATTTCATTTGTTCCCTTCTGATGTCCCTTACAATGCATTACTGCTACCTCTCATGGAAGGAAAACTGAGGATAATAACCTGTTAATTTCCTGGTGGTAATTTATAGTAGATTCATTAGTAGTAAGAAAGTGTCTTTCCTTCCAAATGGTAGCATGAGCATGGAGAATTAAGAAAGCATACTTGGAGTCAATGTAAATGTTAGCTACCTTTCCCTTGCTTAATTCAAGTGCTCTTGTAAGAGCTGTCAGTTCAGCTAGTTGAGCACTTGTGCCTGGATAGAGAGGTGCACTTTCAATAACATCATTCAGAGTGACTACTGGATATTCTGCCTTATGGACTTCTTGCTCTACAAAAGAACTGCCATCTGTGAAGATGGTCCAGTCTGGATTTTCCAGGGGAGTTTCCCTGAGATCCTCCCTGGCTTCATAGATCTGTACCACAACTTGCTCACAGTCATGTTCAGGTTCCCCAGTTTTCTTGGGGAGGAAAGTGGCTGGGTTTAGGCAAGAACAAGTTTTTAACAGAACTGCTGACCCTTCTAACAGCAGAGCCTGATATTTAAGGAGCCAACGGACTGTTAGCCAAAGGTTCCCCATAAAAGACAGCAATCCTGCTACATTGTGTGGGGCATAAACAGTTAAACCATTTCCCAGGGTTAATTTGATGACCTCCAGTACCAGTAGGGCCAATATGGCAATTGCTCAGAGGCATGCTGGCCATCCTTTACCTGCAAATCAAGTTTCTTACTCAGGTAGCCCACTAGTTGTTGAGCTGGTCCTCAGGCCTGAATTAAAATTCCCATGCCCATTCCTTTCCTTTCTGATACATAAAGATTGAAGGCCCTCCCTACAGAGGGGCTGAGGGCTGGTACCTTAAGTAAGGCTTGCTTTCACTGGCTAAAGGCCTTTTGAGCTTTAGGTTTCCAGGTTAGGAGATGAATTTTATCCACTTGAGTTTCTTTTATGAAGTGATATAGAGGATGATCTATCTCACCATACCCAGGTATCCATAGCCTGCAAAATCCTGTAATGCCCCAAAATCTTGTCAGTTGCTTGAGGATTTTAGGGAGGGGGAAGGAGGAAATGGGCTTAATTCTTTCTTCCCCTAATGCTCTGGTCCTTTCAGAAGCACTAAACCAAGGTACTTTACCAAGGTTTTGCAAAGCTGGGCCTTAGATTTTGAAATCTTATATGCTCTGTCAGCTAAGAAATTAAAAAGAGTTTCAGTGCCTTCCCAAGAGGTTTCCTCAGTTGGGGCACAGAGCAGTATATCATCCACATATTGCAAGACCCTGACCTGAGGATGGGAAAACTCAGAGAGGTCCTTTGACAATGCCTGTCCAAACAAATGAGGGATTATCTCAAAATCCCTGAGGCAGCACCATCCATTTTAACTGGGCAGTTTGGCCAGAAGCATTCTTCAAAGGCAAACAGGTATTGAGAGTCAGGATGTAACAGTATGCAGAAAAAGGCATCCTTTAAATCTAAGACTGTAAACCATTTAGTTCCCTCAGGCATTTGGATTAGCAAGGTATAGGGATTAGGTACTACCAGATGGATTGAGACTATGGCCTCATTAATGAATCTCCATTCTGCATTGGGTTTTTGTGCTCCTAATATTGGGGTGTTGTAGGGACTGTTACAGGGTTTAAGGAGGCCCTGCATCTTCAGGTTATTAATAATGGCTTCTAGCCCTTTCTTACCCTCTGGCTTTAGGGGATATTGTCTCCGATTAGGAAAAAAGTGGGATCATTAGGATAGATCCAGACTGGCATAGTGGTTACAACTCAACCTATTCTTCCTTGAGTTGCCCAGACTTCTGGATTGATATTAGCTTCCACTAGAGGAGAAAAAGAGTTTTTCCTGGGGCTATAAGTATGCTGGCCCACATGCAAGCTAGAACGTCTCTACCTAATAAAGAAGTGGGACTTTCAGGCATGATTTAAAAGGCACATGTAAATAATATGTCCCCCCAACTGCACCTAAGGGGTTGAGAAAAACATATCAGAGTGTTTATGAGACACCCCACACCCCTCATGCTATGGGAAAAGGGGAGGCCTCGATTATAGAGGAGAAAAGAGGCTGGCTCTGGTGTCCAGAAGGAGGTCCACCTTCCTTCCTTCAGTTTCCAGAATTACCTGGGCCTCCTGTGCTGTAATGGGAATTTGAGCCACTGGAGCCAGGGCTTGAGCACCAGGACCCATCAGTCCTGCTGGACCATCTTTGAGACTGGTTCTGAACCTGTTGACCTTCATCTCTGGGGGCAGTCTGATCACCAGTGGTCCCCACCACAGGCTAGAGAGGGTCGAGGTGGCTTCTTCTTGCTTCCTGGATATCCTTTTTAAAGTCCTCTGACTTCCCACATCAATAGCAACTCGCAGATGCACCTCAGGGATCCCAGACTTTGCAAGCCTGCAAAGCAGCTACCAGAGCCTCAGTCCTTCTCTTGTGTTTCCTCTCTTTTTCCTGGGTCTCCTCCTGGTCCCTACTATAAAAGACTAAGGTGGCCACCCTCAGGAGGTTCTCCAAAATGCTATCTGGCCCTATAGCCTACTTCTGTAGTTTCCTTCTAATATTGGGAGCTGCCTGTGTAATAAACTTGTCATTTAGGATGAGCTGTCCCTCTACTGAATCAGGGGACAAGAAGGTGTGTTTTATTAGTGCTTCTTTCAGCCTTTCCATAAAGGCTGTGGGATTCTTACCTGGATTTTGGTCTACCATGGACAGTTTAGAGTAGTTAAGAGGTTTGGCCTTAGTTCTTCATAGGCCCCCCAATATGCACATTAAAAAGTGTTTCCTTTTCTATTCATCTGTGATGTCACTGGGGTTCCAAACAAGGTTGTCAAGAGGTAGTGCCTCTCTTCGTATTGGGAATGATGGCTCCCCTATTTCTTCATTTTCTCTATATTCTTTTTTCCCTTTTGGCCTACTATAGGAGACATATTGCTCATCTTTGAATTTCTCCCCTGCCTGCAGAGCTGCCTGTTTTTCAGCTGCAGTTAGGGTTTGGCTTAGGAGCAGCATAACATCCCTCCATGAGAGGTTAGACACCTGAGTTAAATTTTGGAAAGCTTTTATATACTTATCAGGGTCATCAGAAAATTGGCCTAAGTCTCCCTTTATTTGTCTAAGATCCTGCAATAAGAAGGGAACCCTAGTGACATCACCTCCATTGAGCATTTCCTGTAAGGATAAGAGTGAAGCTAGGGGAGTGGGGAGTTTTGGAGATGGTGGAGCTAAAGGACCTGATGGCACAGCTGGAGGGGGCCCCAGAGAGGGAGGACAAGAAGGGCCTGGACACTCAATAGCTGCCTCAGATAGTTCCCTGGAGGTTGCTTCTCTAGTTTTGGGGAATCATTCCCTTTGGGCCCTCCTGATATGACTGCTGAAAGAGCTGAGCTGATTGTGCAATGCTTGCAAAGTTCTGGGTTGTCTCACAGGGCAAAGAAAGCCTGTACCTAAGAGACCTCTGACCATTTGCTGTCCCATCTACAGAAAATATCTAATTGTTGGATAGTATTAAAATTAAGGCTCCCCTCTGCAGGCCAGGATGGTTCAAGATGGTAAGAAGGCCACACCCTTATGCAAAAGAAAATGAGCCACTTTTTCTTCAGTCTCAGGGTCAAAGGAATCCCAGTGCTTCAGAAAGCACTCCAGAGGAGTGCAGACCAAAGATGGTCTGTTATTCATCTAGAAAGAGAAGCAAGAAAAAAGGTGTCCCTTTAGTCACCTTCGTTTCCTTTGGAAAGGCCTAGGGTGGAGGGGAAGACAGTGGGGGCATCCCCCCAACTGTTTTCCCTCCTTGGCGCCCTGAGCCCTGGCATCTTTTAAGGTGCCATCCATTGATGCAAGCATAACCCATAGCAATGAAACCAGAGGAACCAATGGATTGGGATTAGTCATGCTCACCCATGTGACTCTAGTCCTTTGCTGGTGATTTCCCTTTGACTTTCTAGACTTGTGTGATCTGCATGACTCTCCAATAGATGGATCTTGAGAGAGACTTCGTTACAGTTACATTTGGGTAATGCCCTTTAATAGAGAATGCAGGTTTGAGCTGTACAATTTGCTATTATGTCCTGTACTAAAGTATTTATTCTTAGGCAGTGGCTCTGGTTAACTTCCGGAATTAAATTCCTCTTACTATTTAAGTACCATTTTAATTGGAGGCAGAATAGGTGCCTTAAAAGAACGTAGGAACCAAATGGTTGTTTTCCTGCTGATGGGACCATGTTCAGACTAAAATTTGGTTTTGGAGGACCTTTTTCCCCTCATTGTTGAAGACAGAGTTTTCTTGTTCAAAGAAGGAGCATAAAGCCTGGTCTCTTGTAGAGGGGCAAAAAAAGCGAGAATTAGGAAGTTAAGAGTGTTTCCGCAAAGGGCCAACAATATGCCTCATGGAATAGGGTTCCCGTTCCACTAGGTGATGCTGTTGACCTTGAAATACCATGTGCTCTCCAGACCAAGGGTAAAGAGAGAGATGTTCACAGGGGGTGTGGGGAGGGAAGGAGGACCTCTGTGCCTAGAAAATCACAAAAACGGCAATCCCATGAGCTATATTCCCAGGCATTATGGCATTTCCTTATCTTGCCTAAGAGGATTACTTCACCGAACTGTAAAAATTTTTAAAGCATTGCATACAGAGAGTGGATAGGAGACATGGAAGTTGCGGATAGGAAAGGAGAAAATTTGCAATAGAAAAAGCTTGCAGATCCTGTTGCCATCACCCATCAGGCTGTTGGAGGCTGGAATTAGTCCAGAAACCTTCAGGTAACACCAGGGTGTCTCCCTGGCAAGGAACCTTCAGTGCCTCTCAACCTCTTCCAGCCCCACATGACAGCAAGGCTCTCTGTAAAAGGAAACCAATTAGAAACAAAGCCAACATTCCCAGCACCCTGAGGACATGGGGGGATTAGCTAAGTTCTCCCTGGCAAGCCTGTCCCCTGAGTCTTGTAAGGCTGGTAGCCACGCTAACTTTTTAAATGGCTGATTGGGGGCCCAGTATTTGGTTTGATTTTTAAATGGAGAGCAGAAGGCCTTGAAATAAAAAGAAGGAGTTGGGGTCCACTTCTATACTCCCCCTTCTATGAATCTTCCTCGGATCCCAGGTGGGCTCCCATAATGAAATGGCATTTTTCATCTGGGATAATACCCGAGGTTCATTGTCTCTCTCCAAGGAAATCAAGGACATGGACATACAAGGAGTGAGTTTAAGAGCAGAGGTTTAACAGGCAAAAGAAAGAGAAAAGCTCTCTTCTGTAGAGACAGGGGATTTAAGTGGGTCTTTTGGTCCACAGTGAAGTGCAGGAGATTTTATAGATGAGCTTGAGGAGGTAGTGTCTGATTTACACAGGGCAAAAAAGATTGGTCACCCCAGGTGTAACATTTGCATAGCACACAAAGAACTGGTTAGGACTCGGTGTGCCATTTGCATAGCATATGAAGAAGCTGGCTGTCCCACTCTAATCTTTCATTATGCAGATGGGTTCTCTACCTGGCCAGCTCCATGTTGCCTGCTTTTTTACTGTACACATGGTGACAAAGAAAAGGGAAGATGGAGCCTCCATGTTGAACATGCCTGGCCCTCAGGTAGCCCTTTTCTATTGACACAGCCGCCAGCATTCACCCATGCAAGTTTTCAGCTGGCTTATCTATGTTTGCAGCTTGATTTTTCAGGCTGCTCTTTGTTAGAAAAGAAATGATTTGGGGGCTCCTTTTTGTTAAAAAGGGAAGCCTTGCCAAGGACTCCTTTACCCTCACTGTCTACCTAAATAATTTCTTTCTAGTTCCTGTTTCATTTCCTTTATATATTTAGGTGTTCTAAATGTTGAATGTATATACATATATATACACACACACACACACGTACATATATTTGTCATTTTCTCTTGATGAATTGATCTCTTTATTATTACATAATGACCTTCTTTTTCTCTTTTTACAGTTTTTGACTTAAATCCAATTTATCTGATATAAGCATAGTGACTCCTGCTCTCTTTTGGTTTCCATTTGCATGGAATATCTTTTTCCATTACTTCACTTTCAGTCTATGTGTGTCCTTAAAGCTGAAGTGAATCTCTTGCAGAAGGATAGAGTTAGGTCTTGTTTTTTTAAAATCTACTCAACCATTCTGTCTTTGGGGTAGGGAGTAATGAAATATACCATTTTATTACAGAGTCTCACAAAAATAAAAATAGTATCTCAAAACTCCCCCAATTCTGCAGGTGGAGGATGGCAGGAGACTAGACTACCATCCTCCACCTGCAGAACTGGGGGAAGACAGATGGCAGGCAGTGTGAGTTTTTTGGCTCACTTGAGGCCAGTGAGAAGGTATGAGAATGGAACCAATCTAAAAATGGCTGATGTTACTTAGGAGCTGAAAAGAACAGGGCAACCTTGAAGACCCAGACACCCCTTTTAGAAGGTGCAATAAAGGCACCTTTCCAAAGCTACTAAGCAGGCACTTGGCATTTCAGGATTTTGTCTTCTGTTTGCACAAAAGTATTCCCTTCACCCAGACCTGGCGCCTTTTATGCTTCAGAGTTAAGACCTGCAGAGGGATAGGTGGCAAGGCATTTCCTAGAAGAGATCACCCAGCACAGCTGCCCTGGGCTCAGGGTCTTAATTTCTGTCTAGTCCCTGGAACTATTTATATTTAATAAATTTTATATGAATACCTGGAGAAATAGAAGACATAAAATCTGAGGGTTTGGGAGAGAAAGATTGGGGACTAGGCAGGAAGCCAGAGCAGGGGAGGTTCCCTCAGGCCAGCTTGACCTGCTCCTTGACCTCTTTGGCTCCTGGCTTCTCCTCCTTCATTTTTCTCCTCTTCTGTGACATTTCTTCATCTCTGAGTCTCTCTTTTTCATCCTGTTTTAATCCTCTTGGCTTTTTTGAAGATGGGAGAGATCTTGCAGCCACGCTCTCCCTCCTCATCAGAGTCGAAGAACTCTTCCTCACAGGTAATTCATCTGTCAGAGAAACGGATGGAGATGAGCTTGTCAGGGTCTTCTTCATTCTCATCGCCACCCTCTTGAGGGACAGCATCCTCAGAATCACCTGCATTTGGACTGCAGGTGGATGGGCCTGCATTACTAGGTTCTCAAACAGCCACTGTTTAATCTTCTCCAGGTACTCATTAGTGTTCTGGTTAGTCATATTGGAAGGACTGATGTAGGGCTTGAAATATGGTCCAAAGTATTCAAAGTAATCATTGTATGAAGGCTCATTAGGGATCTCCATATCCAGAGCCACAGCTCTTTCTTATTTCCAGGGCACTGAGCAACATTATAAATGGTGTAACCACCTTCTGCCATCAATAACATAGGCAGGTTGACACTCTTGACAGATTCCACACACTTGGCATGCCCTTTGATGATCAGATTAAAGCAATCTAAGTGACCCCTAGACAAGGCATCTGAGCCATGCTGTAAGATCACCACACTAGACAGGAACATCTCTATTACTTTGGACATGACCAGTTTGAAAATGGCCTCATAGGACTCATCATCAATCCCATCTAGGAGCAGATAGTTAATAGCATAATATCTGCCTTTGCCAGCCCCAATAACCCATAAGTCCCCATCTCCTGGGAAGTACTCTCCATATTTATGAAAGGACACAGTCCTGGCCTAGCCTGTAATATAGAAGGCCTCTTCCATGCCATCATCATGGTGAATATCAACGTCAACATACAACACCCTCTGGTGATACTTTAGCAGTTCCAAGGTGGCCCAGATTGTATCATTAACATAACAGAAGCCAGATGCCTTGAACTTCTTTGCATGGTGCAGGCCTCCAGCCCAATTCACAGCAGTGTCCATCTGCTGCTCATTAAGTTTCACAGCACTTGCCACAGAGCCACCAGTAGACAACTGACAGAAGTCAAACAGGCCATCAAATGCTGGACAGTCCTCACTAACGTTGAATCTCTGCATCCGCTTGCTGTGCTCAGACACGTAATCTGGATAGATGGAGCACAAGAATTTAATGTAGTCATCACTGTGGTACTTGGTCATCTCCTCAGCATTGGCTTTGTGAGGGTGATGGGTTTCCATTTTTCAGTAGAAACCATAGTTGAGCAGCAAATTATGAGTCACGCAGATTCAGTGAGGATTCCTTGGGTGGGCTTGTCCATAATAGTAATTTCCAACACCCCTATCGTAGTAGTAACAGACTTTCCTCCTGGTGCCCTGCCTTTGCGCCATCTTGCTCACTTCCTGTCCCTCTGTCTCTCCTGTCAGTCAATCTCCATTCTATGCCTTTTTATTGGAGAATTTAAATAATATTGATAATAGTATGTAAATCAATATTCAAAATCACAATAAGTAAAAATGACTAGGAACATGTTAATTTCATAGCATGTTACACTTCCTGTCATTTCAGTTCAGATATGCTCTAAATTTATCCATCTCATGTCACATTTGCTGTCATTTCAGGTTTGGTCTGCTCTAAACTTATCCATCTCCCTCCATTACTGGAACAACTCCACAAAGTCCTTATTCCCTAAAACACCACTGATATCATTAAAGCCACTAACAGAGACTGAACTCAGAATAAAGGAAATCATAGAGAAACTAGATCAGCAGATCCCACCCAGACCTTTCACCCACGTGAACACCACCACCAGCGCCACACATAGCACAGCCACCATCCTCAACCCTCGAGATACGTACTGCAGGGGAGACCAGCTGCACATCCTGCTGGAGGTGAGGGACCACTTGGGACGCAGGAAGCAATATGGCGGGGATTTCCTGAGGGCCAGGATGTCTTCCCCAGCGCTGATGGCAGGTGCTTCAGGAAAGGTGACTGACTTCAACAACGGCACCTACCTGGTCAGCTTCACTCTGTTCTGGGAGGGCCAGGTCTCTCTGTCTCTGCTGCTCATCCACCCCAGTGAAGGGGTGTCAGCTCTCTGGAGTGCAAGGAACCAAGGCTATGACAGGGTGATCTTCACTGGCCAGTTTGTCAATGGCACTTCCCAAGTCCACTCTGAATGTGGCCTGATCCTAAACACAAATGCTGAATTGTGCCAGTACCTGGACAACAGAGACCAAGAAGGCTTCTACTGTGTGAGGCCTCAACACATGCCCTGTGCTGCACTCACTCACATGTATTCTAAGAACAAGAAAGTTTCTTATCTTAGCAAACAAGAAAAGAGCCTCTTTGAAAGGTAAAAATAATTACTTCTTGAGACTACCTGTGCAAATATTGTGATTTGGCCTATATACTGATCCAAAGAAAAGTCTTGTGAGTGTATTAATTTTGGGTGTCTTTAGTAAGAGCCTTTGGGGAAAGGATCTGTGAATTCATTTAGAGACAGTGCCCATTCTCTAGTAATCCACAAACTTTTTGAACATTTAATTCTTATCAATGGGAAAAAAATATATACAGAATAAAAACTAGAAGAAAATGAGAAATGCACATGTGTGTATGTGTGTGTGCTCTAATACATTATTTCTGCAACTCAACAAATTCTCTTGCATACCTTCTGGGTAACTGTATCCCATAGCCTAATAGGCAAAGAAATGGAAATTTACTAAATGGCCTGAAACTGTAGGCATAATAATTGACTTATCTCTAAGAAATAACTGAGGCACTGGATAATCTAGTTTCTGTATGTTTCCTGATTTGAGGCCACCTACAGATTAATTTCTGTATTTGTGTCTTTAAGGTCAAATGTGGGTGTAGAGATTATGGAAAAATTCAATACAATTAGTGTCTCCAAATGCAACAGTAAGTACTCCTGTGTTTGGTGGGTGGTGCCTAGTTCTAGACCCATTTAAAGGGTTTCTTCTTTCTACTGGATTTGTTCACTGTTTCAGTCCTATCAGCACTCTGTTCATCTGGCTTATCTAAGGTTGGCCAAGACACCAGTTACCTAGGTGAGTGAATAATTCAATCACTGGAATATCATAAGCCTATTTTAGTAACTGTAACTCTCATCATCAGTCTATTTGTCAGTCAGTGAATTCCCTGCCCATTTTATACAACAACCTTTAAACGTTAACTCTTTCCCAATTCTATACCCACTTCTTTACCTCACCACAACACCTCTCTTCATACCACTCCCATCACCTCTTCCCATATCACCACTAGCCCATCACCATCTAGAGGTTTCCAACCTGCCATCTGAGTGTCAGTTTATTATAACCCCTCCCTCTTGATCTTTGCCACCTTTCAAACAATTGTTAGCATAAAAAATAGAACTTGCACACTTATATTTACTAATTTCTCTCCAATTTCTTTGAATCCAAATAGCCTAGGAAATTCTTATCTAAAACGACTCAAGGCAAGAGCTTTTATGTCTCTGCAAGTTCAGCATTAAAACCTTGCTAATCATAAAAAAAGAAAGAAAGCCTTGCTAATCACTAATAAACCTATTTACACTGAAGTGTAAATATGTACCTAGATGTAGAAATGTTATTTTTACCACACATACATGAGTACACTCATCCCACTTATTAAAATATTAAACTACTTCTCTCAGTTGATTAATAATCAAACCTGCCACGGGCTCCTCACCATTGTGGCTACCTCAACCTGTGGATTCCCAGACTCTTCTAAACCAGTGACTGAGGGGTTCATCTTTGGCCCATCTTGGACCTCTAAGACACTCTCCAGCCTATAGCTATATTCATTTGGATTGGTCAGTTCCCAAGCCAAACTAGTTGTTAATATTTTTTATATCACCTTTATTTAACTCAAAGGATTTATATTTTGATGGTGTCATTTAAGACACAGTGTGACAAACTTAGGGGTAAAGTGAGCTAAAATGATAGGATAATTGAGCTTCCATTCCTATGCAAGAATTGATGACTTTAGTTTCATAGAAAAGCTGGAAAATACTTAAATTTTCCTCCAGAAAGCCATTTTTTTTCTGGGAAGAAACATATACTCTTATAACGAACATTAATGAACATTATTTAGGAAATTCACATCAGAGAAAAATTTTTATTAAAAAAACAGCTGTTCCATTAAGAGAATACTTCAGTAATACTTTTTCCACCATTACCACCACCTTACCCCCTCTTAGGATACTTAGAGGATAGAAGGCTCTTAATACATACTGACGGGTAATTTGATGTTTTGGAAGATCCTATCTCATTGATTCTTTGGCAGAAGAAACAGTTGCAATGAAAGAGAAATGCAAGTTTGGAATGACATCCACAATCCCCAGTGGGCATGTCTGGAGAAACACATGGAATCCTGTCTCCTGTAGTTTGGCTACAGTCAAAATGAAGGAATGCCTGAGAGGAAAACTCATATACCTAATGGGAGATTCCACGATCCGCCAGTGGATGGAATACTTCAAAGCCAGTATCAACAGTATGCCTCAGTCTAAGCTATAATTCTTACCCCTTTCAGAAACTTCTTTTCCATTTCAAAGGGGAGAAGGGAATATGGGAAATTCCTCTTTTTTTCATATTCTTCAATCACAACACACCAAAATTTTTCACAAGGCATTGTTATCCTTCCTTTAAAAAAACAATACAGCTATCTAACTGGAAGGAAAGCAGTGTAGAAAAAGGTTTATTACATCCCTATCTCTGCAGAATTCACACTTCAGTATGTACCCAGTAGGCTCCAAAAACTATTGATGGAACCAAAGATAATGTAAGATATTAAATTGTCCAGCTTCTAGAACCAGCAAAATGATTAAGGGTATGATTCTAGAACCAGACAACCTGGGTTCAAAACCTGACTTCTCTACCTCCTATCTGGGTGACTTTGAACAAGTTACATAACCATTCCATCCCTCAGTTTTCTCATCTGTCAACTGAAGATGAAAAGAGTTTCTACCTAGTAAAATGAGGTAATGCATACAGTGCATTTAGAATATTGTTTCTTACATAACTTCTCTTTGGTGTAAGGTATCATTACTGTCATCATTACCTAAGAGAACAGATGTCAGAAGTGAGGTAGACTTTGCATCAGGTAGACACAAGTAAAGCATGGGCTTGGGGTCTAACAGATCTAGGCTATGCTACTTAGAAACAATGACTTTGGGCATGTTATTTATTTTCCCTGCCTGGTGTTTCTCACCAATCAACCAGGAATAATAATAGTGATATAGTTTGACTGATTGTCCCCTCCAAATCTCATGTTGAAACATGATCTCCAACACTGGAGGTGGGACCTAGTGGGAAGTGTTTGGGTCACGGAGGTGGATCTCTCATGACTGGCTTGGTGCCCTCCCCATGGTAATGAGTGAGTTCTCGCTCTGTCAGTTCATGTGAGAACTGGTTGTTTAAAAGAGCCTGGCATCTCTCTTGCTCCCTCTCTCACCATGTGACACACTGGCTCCCCTTCCCTTCCGCCATGACTAAAAGCTTCCCGGCCTCACCAGATGCTGAACAGATGCCGATGCCATGCTTGTACAGCCTGCAAGAACCATCAGCCAAATAAGCCTCCTTTCCTTATAAATTACCCAGCCTCAGGTATTCCTTTATAGCAATGCAAACAGACTAATACAAGTACAAGTCTGTATAGAAGATTAAATGAAGTAATGGATATAAAGTGTTTAACACATTGCAAGGCATAGTGGCACACAGAAAGTGCCCAAAAAAACAACAGCCATTGCAATTGTTATCATTACTTAATTTAAGGGTCAGGGATAAAACCCAGTTGCTAAAATCCTAGTTCAGTTGCTCTATTTACTAAACCAAGAGCGCACCAGTAATAGCTCAGAATTTGCTAGTAGACCTTAGCCATCTCACCTACAAAACCATTATTGTCTACCCCTCTATGACCCCGGATCCTGGCTCTCATCACTGAGAGAATTGCAGTAGCTGTGGCTCCATCCTGGCCTTCCTAAAATGAGGCCACTCATGATCTCAAACTTAGAAGGAAAGTTGATCCAATGAAAGTGGGAAAATTGGTAGGGCCTTAGTTCTAAGTTATAAGAAAAATTCTCAATGGAAGGAAGAGCTTTAAATTGTGATCTCTGGTAAATGACTAAACTCCTAGGGAAACCTCAATTACCTCATCTACAAAATTCAGGGTCTAGTAACAGCCTTTAGCATCACATTCTGTAACAGTGATTCTCTTGGGTCATATAAAGGACTGAGTTATGGAGTTACCTACCCTCTTCGACTCATCTTTTAATTTGTCATAGAAAAACAACTGTTGTACATTGTGTTAAAAGTTAAATTCTATGGCCAGAGTGTGATTTGGAAAAGAAAACTGAAGTAAGTTGGAAGCAGAGTGAAGAAAATAACTCTGCCATTTTCTTCCAACTCACCCTACAGCATCTCTGTTTTCCAGCCTCACTGGGTTAAGTCTTCAAATGTAGCCCTTTGCTTCTAAGACAATCCCATGTTACAAAGCATCAATAATCCTCCTCTGAACATTTTCCTCAAAAGTTCTAACTACAAAGCAGTTAGCCCTGATGTTCTGATAAAAGTCTAATTAATGTGATGAAAATGGAAGAACTTCATTTTATTCTATTCATGTGTCAATTAAATATACATGAGAGGATCCTTGAGGTGAATGGATAGATCAGTCCAAATAAATGCTTTGTATATCGTAAAGGGTTCCACAAATGACTAGTAATACTTATTATTATAGATATGGCACTTAATATTATCCCAAGCATATGTGAAGGAAACACAGAAGTACAGAATATAATTTCAGTCTTGAGGGAATTTAAAGAGTGGCTGGGGAAATAGGGTTTACTTGTTTTTTATGTAAAGACCAATTAGTACCTTCCTCTAGCCTCAAATGAGCTTAGTCTACAATCAACAAAATGTACAAAAATAATATCTACAAAACTGACCACATAATCCTCCAAGGAAGTTACCTCACTACCTTTCCATCCCCACTCCATTAGATTCCACATGATTCTATAAGGTGGCGTGCACGTAATCTTTCACATTTACATAACACTTTTTTAATTTTTAAGTTTTTTATTTCAATAGGTTTTTGGGGAACCGGTGGTGTTTGGTTACATGGATAAGTTCTTTAGTGGTGATTTCTGAGATTTTGATGCACCCATCGCCCGAGCAGTGTACACTGTGCCCAATGTATAGTCTTTTATCCCTCGCCAACGCTGACCCTTTCCTCCGAGTCCTCAAAGTCCACTGTATCATTCTTAAGCCTTTGCGTCCTCATAGCTTAGTTCCCACATATGAGTGAGAACATACGATGCTTGGTTTTCCATTCCTGAGTTACTTCACTTAGAATAATAGCCTCCCATTCCATCCAGGTTGCTGCACATGCCATTCTTTCATTCCTTTTCATGGCTGAGTAGTATTCCACAGTGTGTGTGTATAACATTTTATATATATATATATATATGACACATATATATTTATGACATTATATATATATAACTTTATATATATGTGTATATATATAACTTTATATATATATGTATATATATAACTTTATATATATATATGTATATATATATAACTTTATATATATATATGTATATATATATATATATAACTTTATATATATATATGTATATATATATATATAAACATCTTCTTTATCCACTCATTGATTAATGGGCATTTGGGCTGGTTCCTTATTTTTGCAATTGCAAATTGTGCTGCTAGAAACATGTGTGTACAAGTATTTTTTTCGTATAATGACTTTTCTTCCTCTGGGTAGATACCAAGAAGCAGGATTGCTGGATCAAATGGTAGATCTGTTTTTAGTTCTTTAAGGAATCTCCACATTGTTTTTCTTAGTGGTTACACTAGTTTACATTCCCACCAACAGTGTAAAAGTGTTCCCTTTTTACTGCATCCACACCAACATTATTGATTTTTTTTGAATATGGCCTTTCTTACAGGACTGAGGTGGTATCACATTGTGGTTTTGATTTGCATTTCCCTGATAGTGATATTGAGCATTTTTCCATATGTTTGTTCACCATCTGTATATCTTCTTTGGAGAATTGTCTATTCATGTCTATAGCCCACTTTTTGATGGGACTTTTTTTTTCTTGCTGATTTCTTTGAGTTCTTTGTAGATTCTGGATATGAGCCCTTTGTTGACTGTATAAATTGTGAAGGTTTTCTCCCACTCTGTGAGTTGTCTGTTAACTCTGCTGATTATATCTTTAGCTATGCAGAAGTTTTTAGTTTAATTAAGTCCCATCCATTTATGTTTGTTTTTGTTGCATTTGCTTTTGGGTCCTTGGTCATAAAGTTTTTGCCTAAGCCAGTGTCTAGAAGGGTTTTTCTAATGTTATCTTCTAGAATCTTCATGGCTTCAGGTCTTAAATTTAAGTCTTTGATCCATCTGGAGTTGATTTTTGTATAAGGTAAGAGATGAGGATCCACTTTCATTCTTTTATATGTGGCTTGCCAATTATCCCAGCACCATTTGTTGAACAGGGTGTTCTTCCCCTACTTTATGTTTTTGTTTGCTTTGTCAAAGATCAGTTGGCTGTAAGTATTGGGCTTTATTTCTGGGTTCTGTATTCTGTTCCATTGGTCTATGTGCCTATTTTTATGCCAGTACCATGCTGTTTCAGTGACTATGGCCTTATAGTATAGTTTGAAGTCCAGTAATGTTATGCCTCCAGATTTGTTCTTTTTGCTTAGTCTTACTTTGTCTATGTGGGCTCTTTTTTGGTTCCATATGAATTTTAGAATTGTTTTTTCTAGTTCTGTGAAGAATGATGGTGGTATTTTGAAGAAAATTGCATTGAATTTGTAGATTGCTTTTGACAGTACTGTCATTTTCACAATATTTATTCTACCCATCCATGAGCATGTGATGTGTTTCCATTTATTCATGTCATCTATAATTTCTTTGGGCGGTGTTTTGTAGTTTTCCTTGTAGAGGTCTTTGACATCCTTGGCTAGGTATTCTTAAGGTTTTTATTTTATTTTATTTTATTTTACAGCTATTGTGAAAGGAGTTGAGCTCTTGATTTGATTCTCGGCTTGGTTGCTGTTGGTGTATAGCAGAGCTACTGATTTGTGTATATTAATTTTGTATCCTAAAACTTTGCTGAATTCATTTACCAGTTCTGGGAGCTTTTTGGATAAGTCTTTAGGGTTTTCTAGGTATACTATCATATCATGAGCCACAGCAACAGTTTGACTTCCTCTTTACCAATTCGGATGTCCTTTATTTCTTCCTTTTGTCTGATTGCTTTAGCTAGGACTTCCAGTACTATGTTGAAGATAGGTGGTGAGAATGGGCATTCTTGTCTTGTTCCAGTTCTCAGAGGGAATGCTTTCAACTTTTCCCCATTCAGTATTATGTTGGCTAGGGGTTTGTTGTAGATGGCTTCTATTACCTTAAGGTATGTCCCTTCTATGTTGATTTTGCTGAGGGTTTTAATCCTAATGGATGCTGGATTTTCTCAAATGCTTTTTCTGTGTCTGCTGAGACGATGATGTGATTTTTGTTTTTAATTCTATTTATATGGTGTATCACATTTATTGACTTACGTATGTTAAGCCATCCCTGCGTCCCTGGTATGAAACCCACTTGATCATGGTGGATTATCTTTTTGATATGCCATTGGATTTGGTTAGCTAGTATTTTGGTGAGGATTTTAGCATCTATGTTCATAAGGGATGTTACTGGTCTGTAGTTTTCTTTTTTGTTGTGTCCTTCCCTGGTTGAGGTATTAGGATGATACTGGCTTTATAGAATTATTTAGGGAGGATTCCCTCTTTCTCTGTCTTTTGGAATAGTGTGAATAGGATTTGTTTGAATTTTTCTTTGAATGTCTGACAGAAATCAGCTGTGAATCTATCCTGAACTTTTTGTGTTGGCAATTTTTTAACTATCATTTCAATCTCACTGTTTGTTACTGGTCTGTTCAGAGATTCTATATCTTCCTGGTTTAATCTAGGAGGGTTGTATATTTCCAGGAATTTATCCCCTCTAGGTTTTCTAGTTTATGTGCTTAAAGGTGTTCACAGTAGCCTTGAATAATCTTTCATATTTCTGTGGTATCAGTTGTAATATCTCCTGTTTTATTTCTAATTGAGCTTATTTGGATCTTCTCTCTTCTTAGTTAATCTTGCTAATGGTTTATCAATTTTATTTATCTTTTCAAAGAACCAGCTTTTTGTTTCATTTATTTTTGTATTACTTTTGTTTCAGTTTCATTTACTTCTGCTCTGATCTTCATTATTTTTTTTTCTGCCAGGTTTGGGTTTGGATTATTCTTGTTTCTCCAGTTCCATGAGCTATGACATTAGTTTATCTATTTGTGCCCTCTCAGACTTTTATGTAGGCATTTAAGTCTATGAACTTTCCTCTTAACATCACTTTTGCTGTATCCCAGAGGTTTTGATAGCTTGTATCACTATTATGGTTCAGTTCAAAGAATTTTTTAATTTCCATCTTGATTTTATTGTTGACTCAATGATCATTCAAGAGCAGGTTATTTAATTTCCATGTATTTGCATGGTTTTGAGGGTTCCTTTTGGAGCTGATTTCCAATTTTATTCCACTGTGGTCTGAGAGAGTACTTGATATAATTTTGATTTTCTTAAATTTACTGAGACTTGTTTTGTGGCCTATCATATGCTCTATCTTGGAGAATGTTCCATGTGCTGATAAATAGAATGTATATTCTTCACTTTTTGGGTAGAATGTTCTGTAAATATCTGTTAAGTTCATTTGTTTTAGGGTATAGTTTAAGTCCATTATTTCTTTGTTGACTTTCTGTCTTGATGACCAGTCTAGCGCTGTCAGTGGAGTGTTAAAGTTCCCCACTATTGTATTGCCATCTCTCATTTTTTTTGGTCTATTAGTAATGTTTTGTAAATTTGGGAGCTCCAGTGTTAGATGCATATATATTTAGAATTGTGGTATTTTCCTGTTGAATGTTATTTTATCATTATATAATGTCCCTCTTTGTCTTTTTAAACTGCTGTTGCTTTAAAGTTTGTTTTGTCTGATATAAGAATTGCTACTCCTGCTTGCTTTTGGTGCCCATTTGCATGGAATATCTTTTTCCACCCCTTTACCTTAAGTTTATGTGAGTTCTTATGTGTTATTAAATAGGTGACTTTCCTGAAGACAGCAGAAACTTGGCTGGTGAATTCTTACCCATTCTTCCATTCTGTACGTTTTAAGTAGAGCATTCAGGTCATTTACATTCAATATTAGCATTGAGATATAAGATACTATTCTATTCATTGTGCTACTTGTTGCCTAAATACCTTGTTTTTCTTTTCATTGCATTATTTCATGTAGGTCCTTTGAGAATTATGCTTTAAGGAGGTTCTATTTTGGTGTGCTTTGATAACTTGCTTCAAGATTTAGAGCTCCTTTTAGTAGTTATTGTAGTGCTTGCTGGTACTGGCAAATTCTGTCAGCATTTGTCTCGAAAAGACTATCTTTTCTTCATTTACGAAGCTTAGTTTTGCTGGATACAAAATTCTTGACTGATAATTTTTTTGTTTAAGGAGGCTAAAATAGAACCCCAATCCCTTCTAGCTTGTAGGGTTTCTGCTGAGAAATCAGCTGTTAATCTGATAAGTTTTCTTTTATAGGTTACCTGATACCTTTGCCTCACAGCTCTTAAGATTTTTTCCTTCATCTTGACTTTAGATAATCTGATTACTATGTGCCTAGGCAATGATCTTTCTGTGATGAATTTCCCAGGTGTTCTTTGAGCTGCTTGTATTTGGATGTCTAGATCTCTAGCAAGGCCAGGGAAATTTTCTTCGATTAGTCCCTCAAATATGTTTTCCAGACTTTTAAATTTCTCTTCTTCCTTGGGAATACCAATTATTCTTAGGTTGGGGCATTTAGCATACTCCCAAACTTCTTGGTGGCTTTGTTCATTTTTTAAAATCCTTTTTGTCTTTGATGGATTGAGTTAATTCTAAAGCCTTGTCTTCTAGCTCTGAGGTTCTTTTTTCTGCTTGTTCAATTCTATTGCTGAGAATTTCCAGTGCATTTTGCATTTCTCTAAGTGTATCCTTGATTTCCAGAAATTGTGATTGTTTTTTATTTATACTATCTATTTCACTGAAGAATTTTCCTTTCATATTCTGTATCATGTTTTTAATTTAAGTTGGACTTCACCTTTCTCTGGTGCCTCCTTGATTAGCTTAATAATCAACCTTCTAAATTATTTTTCCTGCAATTCAGAGATTTCTTCTTGGTTTAGATCCATTGGTGGTGAACTGGTATGGTCTTTTGCAGGAGTTAAAGAATCTTGTTTTGTCATATTACCAGAATTGGTTTTGGGGTTTCTTCTCATTTTGGTAGACATGTCAGAGGGAAGATCTGGGATTCAAGGGCTGCTATTCAGATTCTTTTGTCCCACAGGGTGCTCCCTTGATGTGGTTTAATCCCCCTTCCCCTAGGAATGGGGCTTCCTGAGTCTCGCAACCCAGTGGAGCTACTGGGCTCTGGGCTGGTACTGGAGAGTGTCTGCAAAGAATCCCATAGGATGTGACCCATCTTCAGGTCTTGCAGCCTTGAATACCAGCACCTGCTCCAGTGGAGTTAGCAGGGGAGTGAAGTGGACTCTGTGAGGGTCTTTGGTTGTGTTTTTGTTTAGTGTGCTGGTTTTGTGTTCGTTGGCCTCCAGCCAGCAGGTGGCACTTTCAAGAGCACATCAGCTGCTGTCCTACAGGCAGGATGGAAACTTGCCCTAGGGACACAGTTTTTCAGCATCTCAGAGAGCCTGCAGTGGTGATCCTGTTCCTTCAAAGGGTCTATGGATTCTTCTGACTTTCCTGGTATGTTCCTGTGGCAGTTCTTGGAGCAGAAGTTCATGATGTGAGTCTCCACAGGCTGCTCTGTTTGTCTGAGTGAGAGCTGCAAGCTAGTCCTGCCTCCTATCCACCATCTTAATCCAAGATGCTACGTAACACTTTTGACTGTTCAAATAATTTTCAAAAACATCCCCTCATCTAAACCTATAATAAATTAGACATGATTAGCTTATTTAATTATACCAATCAAATCTCTTCCATCTTTATATCTACTCAATCTTGGTAACTATATCCTCCTTTTATTTTGGGATTGCCTATTTGTTATCAGCACTGAAGTCAGTGGATCTGCATGAATCTGGAAAATTGCAACACCAGCTTGCTGTGGATTTGGATAGGAACATCAACATCCAGTGGCAAAAATATTGTTATCCCTTGATAGGATCAATGACCTATTCAGTCAAAGAGATGGAGTACCTCACCCGGGCCATTGACAGAACTGGAGGAGAAAAAAATACTGTCATTGTTATTTCCCTGGGCCAGCATTTCAGACCCTTTCCCATTGATGTTTTTATCCGAAGGGCCCTCAATGTCCACAAAGCCATTCAGCATCTTCTTCTGAGAAGCCCAGACACTATGGTTATCATCAAAACAGAAAACATCAGGGAGATGTACAATGATGCAGAAAGATTTAGTGACTTTCATGGTTACATTCAATATCTCATCATAAAGGACATTTTCCAGGATCTCAGTGTGAGTATCATTGATGCCTGGGATATAACAATTGCATATGGCACAAATAATGTACACCCACCTCAACATGTAGTCGGAAATCAGATTAATATATTATTAAACTATATTTGTTAAATAACACAAAAGTCTGAAATTCATTCACTTAAGTAAAAAAATTTATTGACTGTCTACTAGCAGGCCAGATGCTGTGTTTGGCTCTGAATTCCCAACTAGCAAGAGCAGAGAATCTACATTATGGCTGATCCATAAGCCACCAATTCAGCTAAATGAGATGTTTCTAATCTGGGCTTCCACTTAAAAATAAAACTAAAAATACTCATGAAAAGAGCCTACCCTTCTTGATCAGAGCCATACCCCTCTTCACCAATGGGAAGTCAAGACACCTATGGGTAAAAGTTCTCTCTGATGCATGAAAACTCAGAGTGATAAAGTAATTTTAAAATAAAAATTTGGAGAAAGCAGTCCTGTTTGTTTATTTCTATCACTAAAGACAAGCTCTAGATGAATTTCCAAGTCAGAAGAGAAGTCTTGTGAGGCAATTCTCCCATAGTCATAGAGAGAATTCTAAGCAAGGACATGTGGGTCCTGAAAACCTCTAAATTTTCTCTCTCTGTAGGAACTCCTGATACTAGGCTCTAATCTGATTCTATAGTATTTTTCATCCAGGTTTATAGGATAACACAGGTAAAAGCACGGGCCACTAGAATTCAGGAAGTTTGTCTTTAGTCTTGTTGCTGTTGATCATTTTAAGACTTTGGAGGGTTGGGTGCAGTGGCTCACACCTGTAATCCTAGCACTTTGGGTTGCAAGACAGTCAAAGACTGGAGAGACCAAAAAAGTCCAGGAGAGTTTATTAAATTAAGGTGATCACTGGCTCAGCCGTACATAGGTCCAGATAGTCTGAGCCCCAAACAAAGGGCTTTTCCTACTTTTAAACATCTTAAGGCGGGAACCATGTGAGGCAGGAAGCGAGTTACAGAAGCAAGAAACAAATGCAGCATTACAACATTTCTTACATCTTGAGAGAAACAGGTCTTGCAACCTAAACTTATCAGTCTTGTGACCCTGCAGCCATGTAGGAAGGTAAGCAGGCACTCTCTGGGCCTATAATAAACTTTGAGGAATGTAGAGTTGGGGAGTATAGATAAGGTCCACTGTCCACAGAAAGAAGACAGGCTGTTAATACTCCCTTTTAACTTGAGTGTGGGGGTGAGGGGTCACACTTTGCAGCAGCTTTAAGAGGATTTTAAAATATCTATTACTACTACTATTAGCTTATAGTTGATTTCACTAATTCCTTCTTCATTTGGAGGCTGAGGTGGAAGGGTCACTTGAGTCCAGGGGTTTGACGCTGCAGTGGCACACCACTACACTACGGCCAGAGTGACAGCGCAAGACCCAGCCTCAAAAAACAACAACAAAAGACTGGATAAGTATCTTCAGCTCTCTGGGTCTCATGTGGTACTTTGGGCACTACCTTGAGGGGCAGGAGTCAGGAGAGGTGCCCCATGGGGCAGAGTACCAGTTCCAATACCACTGCTTCAGCCAGAATATCAGTCATTCTTACCTATATGTATATGGAATCCTGGGTGAGCTTTTTGTTTGAAAAAATTCCACGGCTTAAAACATCTTTGCGAGCCACTATTGTCTGAAAGCTATTAAGTAGATAATCAATAACAATGGTCCCTATAATCTACACATGTAGGTTAACATTTTAATCACTTTCATTTGCATTTTAATAGGCCTTCCCAAGACTTGATCAAAAAAGAGTGTTGGATATGAGAATTTCAGTTGAATAGAGCAATGTGATTATTGTCAAGCAGTTTGGTACCATATTCTTCCTTAATTTTGTACCCTTCATCATGCCCCAGATACCACCAGGCCCCTGACCCAATAGTAAGAATGGCAATAGTACTTGCATCTGGAAAAAAACAATTACAATAGGGCAACTTAAATATGTTTATCCAGTTTTTTGGGGGCAGCAGGAGATAATACATTTTCTATTTATTTGCCAATAATCACAGTTCATAGTCCAATGCCCCACATACACTCAGATGGTCAACATTTTTTTTTAAATCCCTACCATGTGCCAGGAACTGTTCTAGTCTTTAGGTATATAGTCATCAAAAAGACAAATGATATCTCTGCCATCAAAGATTTTATATTCTAATAAAGGAAAAAGATAATAAACAAAAAAGACATAAAATTATTCCACAGTTCATGATAAAGTCATATGAACAAAGCATATCACATCAGTGATAGGGTAACGGCATGGTGGTGATGGAGGTGACTAGGTATTTAGAAAAGCATCTCAGAAGAGAAGCATTGAAAGTGGGATAGAAAAGATAAAAAGGAGGCAGCCGTGAGACAAAATGGAGGAAGACAGAGGCTTGAGAAGTTAGAGAAACAAGCAGGAGCTAGATCTTATGTGGCCTTATTACCTATGGCAAGGAGTTTAAATTTTATCCTAATTATAATGGGTGGGTAGTTGAGGGAGGAAGGAAGGGAGAGGGAAAATAAGAAAGAGGGAATGAAAGAGAGGAAGAGAGTGAAGAAGAGAGGGGGAAATAAAGGGAGGGGGGAGCAGTACCTTAACTCAAGCATCACCATGGACTACTATAGCTGCTAAGGTAAGAATGAACAAGGGTTGTGAAGCTCCAGGAATGGTAGAACAGCACCTGCTTTCTTCTATTAATAGAGTGACTTTCCACTACCCCTTTCTACTTGAGGTAAGGAAGGATAAAAGGTATTGAAGATCTTGCAAAAGGGGCAGAATATTTAAAAGGAACACAGAGCACTATAATTTTAGCACAGAAACTAAAATTTGAATGTGACCCAGAGATTTTTTTTAAGAAAAGAAAAAGAAGATATATGTTTGTAATATGTGAACTCTAAAAGGGAACGTGAGCTCAGATAGAAAGATACATTCAGAATGATAATTCTCAGAAGTTAGCACTTTCTAGGGGCAATCCATGAAGGCTTAATGGTTCTTCTGAAAACCAAATCAATATACACACTGTGGCAATGTCTGTGTGATGTTTCATATGTTTATTTCTTGTCTGAGATGATTGGCCAGTATATATATATATCGAAAGTACAAGTTGTTCTTCCAACAGAGGGAAAAAGTAAAAATGACTGACATATAGCCCTTGGAGCTGAATGGATTCTTAAATATTTTGGAAAAATACTCCACAAAGAAAAAACATTGTAAAAATGTCCAAGGGAAATTATTAACAAGAGGCAAGCATATTAAAGAATATACTGAAAAGAAACTGACAAGGTGAGGTATTTTTTTCAAGAGAGGGTATTTAAAAAAAATAAAAAGTATATTCTAAGTACCAGTTTGTGCTGAATCCTTACAGTTATAATCTTTCTCATCCTTGTAACTAACAGTCTGGGTCCAATGAGGAGGTAGAAACCACCCAGTGGGCCAAACGGGGAAAGTTTGATATAAAGAATTACTAAACTCTGATAAATGAGTGACTATAAGATAAAAGGAATCTCTATGTGGTATGCCTAAGGCTGAGGGACGGTGTCCAAAAAAAACTTGAAAGAAGGTCCCTCCCCAAGGCTGCCGTTCAGCCTTATTGGGAAATGTATAGTTCATTTCACTGGAAAGCAGAGATCGTTGGTTTTCCCAGGCTAGAGCGGGTCTGCAGTTGCTGGACAAGCAGAAGGGAATCCTCCATAGTCCAGGCAGGGTTCAGGCAATCATGAACCAGGGGTGTGAACAAGTAGGTGAGGGCCTAGGACAAAGATGAGCTGTGCAGGGGGCCTGCATGGGGAATCGAGTGCCCATGCAAGCAGTAGGCCTTCACATACAGGGAGTGCTGGGGTGCTGTAGCCAATGTGGAAGGCTAGGAAAGGTTATTGCCAGGCCAGGATGAGGCTGCAAGGTTGCCAAAAGATTGCTTATTCTGGGAACATGGCTGGGGAAGAGCCCTACTGGATGTCCCCATACCAAAAACACTAGCCTACTGCACGGCCACCAGAAACAGCAGGAGAGTTCCTTCTTTCTGCAATGCCCCTCCCAAGCCCTCTGCTGAGAAAGCTTAGCAAAGTGCTCACTATACAGGATGGTGCTTAAGGCACTTCTGTCCATGATTGCAGAGAATGTATACAAAGGCAAATTTGGAGTCAAGAGGTAATAAATCAATAACTGACACGGTCATCAACCCAATCCTTTCAACTGGGTCATTTGTTTAGGAAACAAATAGACTACTCTCTAATAGTTTGCATCTTAAAAAAGAAAACATAAATTTAAATACATATATGTGGGTATATAGAATGTAAATATTCTCCATATGTGTGCAAATATTCTATATATACAGAGATAGAGAGAGAGAGAGAGAGAAATCCCTTGATATTACATGTGTCTCTTGAGGTATGGCTACATATCTTCTCCCCTTTTTATAAAACCTTCTTGAAAACATATAGTTTTTTGTCCTTGCTACCTCCTATTCTCTGTTACAACACATTCCAGTTGGGTTTATGTTCTAAATCGCTCCTGCCAGCGGTACTAATGGCCTTTGTGTTGCTAAATCCAATGGCTACTTCTTTGTCTTCATCCAACTCAGCCTCTCAGTAGTGTTTGACCCAATTGACTGTGCCTTCTTTATTCACTCACTCACTTTCCTTTGTTTCTGTGCCACAGATTTCTCTGTGTTTTCCTCCTGCTTCCTTGGTCACTCCTTCCCATTTTCCTTTGCCAATCCCCACTCAGCTGCTTGGCCTCTAAAGTTGGAGTGCCCTGGGGTTCATTCCTATGCATCCACTTTGCTCTATCTATATGCTAATTTGGGGTGATACCCACTCCCTGGCTTAAATACTATCGATGATTTCCATAACTTGTAAGTATTTGTCTCCAGCTCTGATTTCTCCACTGCACTTAGGACTTGCATATCTAATTGCCTACTTAATATCCCATTTACCTGTCTAGGAGACATCTCAAACTCAGTATGATCAAAGTAGAATTCTTGATTTATATTCCAAAATGCATTTGTCCCTAGTTTTCTCCAGCTCAGAAATGTTTCCAAGATTCATACAGGTAGTCATAAATTGTCCTTGATTCATTTACTTCTCTCATTCCTCTCAAAGTTCTGCCATATTTTTTTTTACAATATATGTGGAGAATCTTTCTCCTCTTCTCTATCTCCATTGCTACCATCTTAGTTTAAACAGTATCACCTCTTTCCTGGACTCAGGCAATAACTGATCTTTTGCTCATAATCTTGAAACTTCTACAACCCATTCTTTGCCTAGTAGCCAGACTGAGCTTTTTAAACTGTAAATGAGATCATTTTACATCCCTGGATAAAACCCTGTAATGGCTTCCAAACTCCTTTCCATGATCCATAATGATGAGTCTTTCCTGTCATTCCAATCTCAGATAAGTTTTCCTGACCACACAATGTAAAACTAGATCACTCCAACTCCCTATTACTCTTAATTACTTCACTGTTTCCTTTTCATGAGTGTATGTATCACTATCCAAAATAATCTCATTAATTTAGTTGTATATATTATTTTTACCTGTTCTACTCACAGTAAACTCTAGGTTCTCTAACAGTAAGGACCACGTATTTGTTCACTAGGTGCCTTGTTCGCAGCATCAGGAACTACGTCTAGCATATGTTAAAGATTCAGTCTATACCTGTTAAATAAAATACAATGATTCATTTTACATTTGCCAGGGAGTAAGTGGAATGTAACAGCCACCTATTTTAAACAGATGGTTTTGTGTAAAAAGGGCATGGCCTACAATAAAGACACGTTCTCTATTAGGAGAATATATCCAAAATATGACAGAGAGGCCCCAAAATTCATCAAGCCTGCAAAAGCCCATGTGAAGTATATCACAAATATTTTTGATGTTCTGACTCAGAAATGAAGAATTTAAGGACAAATTATGTTTTTCAATATTTTCCATTGATGGCTAAAACTTTAAAATAGGAGAATCCTGACATCTGTTATTCGCTGTACTGTTCCTGTTGCCAGGAAAGACTTGCTCTTCTGGAATGTAGACAATGATATCAATACAAATGGTTCCTGGAAAAGGCTTGGCATGCTTGGAAAAATAAAGATGAATAAGATTTTTTCCTGCCTGGAAAGTATTCATTATCCAACTAGAGAGATAATCTTTTATAGAGTATAGAAATAACTTATAAGTAAAACAAGAGGTCTTCTGGAATAGCTCAAACTCCTATATCCCACAATAAATTAGGCTCTAAAGGTGGCCCTTTAATGGATTTTCCTTTCCAGAATTAGCTAAAGATCATATGAAACATATATTCTTGCATTCAATCCATTGTCCTGGCTGTTCCTTTTTTATGGAAAGAATATCCCTCATGGCTTTCTCCAACCAATGAGATTTCAGTCACCCTTCAAGTCCCAGATCCCAGGTGGGATCTGGGTCAGTCAAGTCCCAGGTGGTGTAGGCATACTCAACCACCCCCTCTCTGTGCACTCCTGCACCATTTTCATATGGCTATTCTGTATTGTGCTAGAAATAGTTATTTATGTATCTGCATTTAGACACATATAACACTACAATTAAATCATACATTTCATGAGGGCAGGGAATGTATCTTACTCATATATAAATAATCCCCAAACTTTATTTTTTTAGGATGATTATTTGTGATTAATGGTGATTTATGAGATTTTGGTGCATTGATCACCTGAGCAGTGTACACTGTACCCAATGTGTAGTCTTTTATCCCTCACCTCGCTATCAACCTTTCCCCCAAGTCCCCAAAGTTCACTGGATCACTTTTTATGCCTTTATGTCCTCATAGCTTAGCTCCCACTTATGAGTGAGAACATATGATATGATGTTTGGTTTTCCATTCCTGAGTTACTTCATTTAGAATAATAGGCTTCGACTCTATCCAGGTTGCTGCGAATGCCATTATTTCCTTCCTTTTTATGGCTGAGTAGTATTCCATGATATATATATACCACATTTTCTTTATCCACTCATTGATTGATGGGCATTTGGGCTGGTTCCATATTTTTGCAACTGCTAATTGTGCTGCCATAAACATGTGTGTGCCAGTGTCTTTTCTCATATAATGACTTCTTTTCCTCTGGGTAGATACCCAGTAGTGGTATATCTACTTTTAGTTCTTTAAGGAATCTCCATACTGTTTTCCACAATGGTTGTACTAGTTTACATTCCCACCAGCAGTGTAAAAGTGTTCCCTTTTCACTACATCCACACCAACATCTATTATTTTTTATTTTTTAAATTATGACCATTCTTTCAGGGGTAAGGTGGTTTGCACTGTGGTTTCGATTTGTATTTCCCTGATAATTAGTGATGTTGAGCATTTTTCAATATGTTTGTTGGCCATTCCTAAATCTTCTTTTGAGAATTGTCTATTCATGTCCTTAGCCCACTTTTTGATAGACTGTTTGTTTTTTTCTTGCTGATTCGTTTGAGTTCCTTGTAGATTCTGGATATTAGTCCTTTGTCAGATGCATAGTTAGTGAAAATTTTCTCCCACTCTGTGGGTTGTCTGTTAACTCTGCTGATTATTTCCTTTGCTGTGCAGAAGCTTTTTAGGAGTTAATTAAAATAATCCCAAACTTTAGAGATAAGCGTCCACACGTGGCATCCCAGTTATTTTCAAGTTTGCAACTGCAGGCATGTAATAAATGACTGGAAGTAAATAAGAAAATGAATGAATCAATAAGTAAATTCCCTATATGACTCATATGAGGAGAAAGTAAAATTTCAGAAAAGCTTCCTGAGAGATAAAAAGAGAGATGAGGGATTAGTGACAGAAAATATGACTCACCCTCTTATTTGCCCTCATCTTTATTGCCTCTTGTACTGAACATCTCTTGCTGAATTGTGACTAATATTCCTACTTCCAGAAAGAGGGCCCCTCTTTTCCTGGAGAACTGTACCTTCCCCACTTTATAGCATGCTACTGAGACTCTGAGACTCTCAATCATGTGATTTTTGCCTATTTTTGGTGCCTACTGGTTCATCAAAACACTCTTCCCCCAAACCCTTCATAAGTGATTGGTACTAGCACAGTTGATTAGAGTTGTTGGTTTTTTTCTGTGACTTAATATAAATTCTGAAAAGAAATGGGTCTCTCTCATTCTGAGATCTTGAACACCAACGACCATGTATGGCTTAAGCATGTTAGGACTATCTTGCTGCATTATCTTGAGAGCAAGCATCTCTAAGAAAATAGGACAGGAGAGCCTACAGGCTTAGAGAGAAGCTTGATTACATTGTTTGAACCACAGATCGAGCCTTATCTGAAGCTAGATTAATTCCTAAGACTTCCCACTCATATGAGTCATTAAGTATACTTTTTCCTTTAGCTTGTGTGATTGGATACAACGACTGAAAGAGATAATTTACTTCTGTAAAGTCAACTTGACTCTGGATAGTAATAAATAAGAGAGATTACAGATGCAGTTGTGAAAGTTGTTACAGAGTCTAGGAAAATGGCATAATTAAATAGTCCCAGGATTTATGTTTGATATCAAACAGAACTTGTTGGATATCCTGATGAGAAATATGTAAAATAATAGTATTTCTGTCTTTTCCTATGATTCCTACTGAAATCAGTAAAGGTGGACACAGAGTTTAACAGAGACAGCCATGAGGTATGACCTCTCCACATATCATATGGAAGCACTGAGAATGTGTGCAAGGGCTGGGAAGACAGAGCAGTGCTGTGCATAATCCCCAAGAGGGAAGAAGAGAGCATGGACTCTCAGAAGACTGGATATTGGCACTCAGCACCAGGAAATATTTCTAACCACTCTCCCAGAAGAAAATGCAATAAATAAACCCAACATTTACAGGGAGGCTAGCAGAAAATTTCAAATGCAAAGATGAACACATAACCAAAAATTACCAATCATTTGAAAGAGACTAACACTTGAAAGAGAGGCATAAAGCACAATAATCAGAAGAAATTGACATGCCAAGAAAACAAAGTTAAAAGGACAGTTGATACAAGAATTTAGAATAAGTGTGTTTAATTACCAGACTGATGTGAGAGGATATTGCAGCCATACTTAGAGTTAACTAGATATTTGTTAAATTTAAAATATGATACGTGAAATAAAGAAAAACTTGAGGGACACACTAAAGTTCAAAATGAAAACAATAAACTGGAGAAATAAAATGTTAACTCAAGAATTCTTGCAGAATACAGAATAAAAGGAAAGTGTGATCAAAATTATGAAAGAAAAGTTAACAGATATTAGATCTCAGGTCTAATGGGCCATTAAAAGCGCCAAACATGATGAAGATAAAAAGATCTGCATAAAATTTCATAATACCAAGGATGAAGAGAAAAATGCTACAAAGATTCACAATTATACTAACTTTGACATCAGACATTTCATAAATGACATTGGATGCATGAAGAGAATGAAACAGTATCCTCAAGGCTAAGAAGAAAAATATTTTTCACCTAATTCTATAGCAAGTAAATTTATCATCTATTTAGGAAGAAAAAATATGTACTCAGTCTAATACTGGTCCCCTCTGAAAGAGCTACCAAAGACTTTACAAGATAAGAAACAAATTGAGTAGTGAGGAGTAGGTTTTAGAAACAATATTGGTTAAAGAAACCAAGGTAACAAACAATATTGCCTAATTGTGAGTGAGGCAATATGTTCATATGAACTGTTGACACATGCAATAACTTGGATGGACATCGTGGACGTTACGCTGAGTGGGAGAAAAAAGCCAATCTCAAAATTTACTCCCATGCATAAATAGTAGTAGTTGGGGTGGTGATAGTAGTAGTTGCTAATTATTTAGTGCTTAAACTAAGTGTCAGAAACTGTTTTTAAATGTTGTACATGTATTAATTCATTTAATCCTATGAGTACTTAGCACAGTACTAATAATACTTGTGATCTTCAAAACTAAATCTTACAAATTGGCACAGGGTCTGGGCATCCAGGCTTAGAAAGAGAGATGAAGTTAGATTTATGTTACAGAGCTGAAGTAACAGTCACATGACAAATATGAAGGTTCCAGAGGGAAGGGCATGAGGCATGAGAGAAAGGTCTCCAATATGTAGTCAGTAAAATATTATTCAGCACTAAAGAAATAAGCTATCAAGCCACAAAAAGACAGAGAAACTGAAATCCGTATCGCTAAGAGAAAAGCCAATCTGGGACAGCTACACACTGTATGATTGCAGCTATGTGACATTCTGTAAAAGTCAAAACCATGGAGACAGTAAGAAAACCAGTGGTGACCAGGGGTTAGAGGGGAAAGAAGGATTAATAGGCCTAATTATTCATATACACCCATATATTCCCTTTCATGTTACAGGCATTTGGCATAGCAGAAGTTACAGCAACATTTACTGTATTGGTGAATTAAATAATGTTTATGATAATGACGAGTTAATGAACCATATCCCCTTTCCCTAACTCAGAGCAAATAGTCCTTCCCCATTTATTAGATATCCTTTTCAAACCGATAAAAGATCCAGCTGGGAAAAGTGGCTCATGCCTGTAATCCCAGCACTTTGGGTGGCCGAGGAAGACAGACCACTTGAGCCCAGGAGTTCAAGACCAGCCTGGGCAACATGGTAAGACCCCATCTCTACAAAATACAAATTAAAAATATTAGCCAGGTGTGGCAGCATGCACCTGTAGCCCCTAGGCCCAAGGCAGAAGGATGGCTTGGGCCCAGGAGTTCGAGGTTGCAGTGAGCTATGATCACGCCACTGCACTCCAGCCTGGGCAACAGAGCAAAACCTTGTCCAAAAAAAAAAAAAAAAGAAAAAAAAAGAATTCTCAATCACCCACCAGTTCTCTGCATGGTGTCCACTGACAATTTGTTCTCTTGTTTGGAGTTGTCGTGAGACTTCAGATTTTCTGAGGAAAGCCTATCCATAGAGTCACTTGGGGTATTTTTACACTATGACTTCAAGGACCACAGCTGTTTCAGAACTAAGAGGTTTTCCATTCCCAAGGGTCACCAGTAACATGGAGAGAGAAGGAATCTCAAAGAATACCCGAGTAACACCCAGTTAACAGAGGCTGTGGAATTATCTAATTGTCAGTTAATTGTACTACTGTTTATTGCCTCTTCAAATCTCCACCCCAAGATAAGCCAATTTACGAGGAAAACAGACTGATGAAAATAAATGTGTTCACAGACAAGGAACAAAAACATTTTACACAGCCACAAGAGCCAGTTAAGAACTCACAGGTACTTTTCCAGCCACCCAGATAGGAGAGATCATTAAAACAGGTGAGTAAGCAAAACTATGGAGACTGCCTTTCTCTATTTCTAATCTTGCCAGTGGTCAGTGGAGGGCAGGGAAGAACAAAGCAAAAGAAATTAGAAAGACTGTGTCTGCTGAGGGGTTCTCTCAAGTCAGAGAAAGATAAGAAAAGGGAGAAAGCTCAGAAGAAAGTGTGGGAAACAAAAAAAAAAACTGATAGTGAGAGCCTCTCTTACTGACAAGGATAGGCTGGTTTTGACGGTGAGACAGCATCAAGATAAAATATTTCTCTAATAACCAACCAGCAAAAGTCCCCAGTGCTTTGTGGGAAGCAAGCATGGATACAGTCACTCAACCTAACATCTAGTTGGAGAGAGGAAGAAGGACATCAAAAATACCTGTTTACAACTGATATTTCTTTGCCTTGTTTTATGTATGACATTGTTTGGGTGGAAAATGTATGAATATGTCACAGGAATTCAAAATACGGGAGAGATCGTTGTGGTCTAGAGTTATGCTGGAAAGTTTCCTGTAGAGATTGCCCCTGAGCTGGGGATTCACTGACTATAGAGTCTAGATTGGTGCAGGGGCAGGCCACCCCAGGTGGGCAGTAGGATGAGTCATAAACAAAGCCAGAAAAGCAGGAAGGATTCTTTTTTAATTTTTGTCTTTGAGTATGTGTGTATCCATGTATTGTGCTTTGTATGTATATTTTTAATTTACATAAAAATGTGATAAAGATTTATGTTTATTTCTTTCTTCACTTAGAGCTGTTTTTAAGAGCTCTTCATATTACAGGTAAATCTAGTGAGTTGTATCTAACTGTTGGATAGTATCCCACAATACACATCCACTACATGTTTCTTAACCATTTCATAGTAATACATATTAAAGTCTATTTAATTCCCTACAATTACAGCTATACATATAATCAACTGAAAACAAACTTTGTATGTGATTCTTTATGGACCTGACTGAGAAGTCCTCTGTGATGTATCCAGAATGAATTGCTTGGACATAGGGCATAGATAAACACAAACTAACAGAAATATTGCCATTCTGCTTTCAAAACGATCATGTTAATTTGTACTCTTACATAGCACAGCAGAGTTATGTATAAAGATCCAATCTATATTGTGACCTAGTTCAGCTTAAGTCCATAACAGGAGGATTGTTTAGCTTTAGAAAATATACGAATGTAATACATCACATTTAAACATAAAAGTTTAAAAATTCATATAATTACCTCAATGAATCAGAAAAGGCCTTTGTCAATAACTCAACTTCCATTAGTAATAGAAACACTTCACAAACTTTCTTAAAAGAGAACTTCCTCAATCTAATAGAAGGCATTAAGAAAAGCAAATATCACAAATCCAACATCATATATTTAATTACACATAGTAAAATGTTGAAACTAACTATGAAAACAAGGCAAACGTACCCAATATGGCCACTTCTAATCATCTTTGTTCTCTATGTGTGCCTATATAAAAGCACTATTAAAATAAAGCACTTGCATTTCTACACATCAGCCACAGATATTTGTTTGGAAAATGAAATAAAAAGAAAAACATATAGAATGTGCATATATATGGATATATATATACACACACACATAAACACATATACATAGATGTGTGTATAGTTTATATTTATAATTATAAATAAAATTTATGTTTCCCAAAATAGTAGACTTGCTTATAGTCTCCTTTTGAGAGCAACTAGAAAAGCTAGAGGATGTTATATTTGATCTGTTAAGCGTCAGAGAGCAACTGGGGCAGTGAGGGGTTGAGAGATCTAGATTCTAGAGAGAAAGCAAGAGAGGAACAAAGGGCAGTTAGGGAAATAGAAGGAAAATGAGGTAACATATTCAAAGTGCTGATGCTTTTAACCACCAAAAACAAAAATAAATAAATAACACTTGTCAATCTAGAATTGTATAGCCCGCAAAAGAAACCCTCAAAATGAAAGCAAAATAAGATTTTTTAAAATGTAACCTTGAGAATTTGTCACTAGAAGATGTCTTACAGAATATTAAAGATAGTTCTTGAAGCAGAAGATAAATTCTCCCAAATGACAGTAGAGAACGGCAAAGAAGAATGAAAAAGAAGGAAACTAAATGTACAAATATAAATGAACAAGGATTTTATATATATATATATATATATATATATATATATATATATGTATTATATATAATATATTGTGGTGTTTTAAATATTCCTAGAATTAAACCAGTCAGTGGTGAGTGCCTATAGTCCCAGCTACATGGGAGGCTAAGGTAGAAGGATCACTTGAGCCCAGTAGTTCCAGTCCAACCTAGGCAGCATATTTCTTTTCCATCTCTAAAAGAAATAAAATAAATATTTCTAGAACTGAAATGCCTGACTATAGCAAGAAAATGTGAAAGAGTTAAATGTAAATGGAGTACAGTTTTCTAAGGTCCCTCATTTCCTAATAATTAGTAAAAGTACCAATTTATATTAGACTTCATTAAGTCAAAGATGCATATTGAAATTTCCAAAATAGAGTAGAAATTATTAAAGTAGTTTTTATAACAAGCTAAATGAGAATGGAAATAGAATAATTTTAGAGTTTTTGACTAATACACAAGAGGTCAAAAAGGGGGCCGGGCACGGTAGCTCATGCCTGTAATCCCAGAACTTTGGGAGGCTGAGGCACGCAGATTACTTGAGGTCAGGAATTCGAGACCAGCCTGGCCAACATGGTGAAACCCCGTCTCTACTAAAACTACAAAAAATTGGCCAGGTGTGGTGGCTCACGCCTGTAATCCCAGCTACTCAGGAGGCTGAGGCACTATAATTGCTTGAACCCAGGAGACAGAGGTTGCAGTGAGCCAAGATAGTGCCACTGCACTCCAACTTGGGCAACAGAGTGAGACTCTGTCTCAAAAAAAAAAAAAAGTCAAAAAGGGAGAAAATGGAATAGAAATAGAGAAGGTGGGACAAATAAAAACCAAATAGTAAGATAAAATTACATAGATATATCAACGATAATATGAAATATAAATGGACTAGGAAGTTCCAGCTGCAAAAAATGTCAGAGTGGCTTAGATGAGACTAATATTTCTCATAGAACAGTATTAAACTCTGGAAAAAAATACATTTTAAAAAATGATATGAAAGCACTAGAAAAAGGCCAAAAACTGGCAGAAACTAGAGGGAATTTGACACTTAAAAGTAGGGAATCATGCTGCGTGGGAGCCAGCTTTAAGGGCTCTTATCCTGACAATATACCTCAGTGTGTACTGTGCAAAGCAACTTGAATTCAAGCAGAAAACTGCAGACTTGCAGCCTGGAGATGTCACAGGATGGAGTTCAAGGCAATTGACCAGGGAAATTCCAGGAGAAAGGCCTTAGAAGAAAAAGCCCTGAAATCTACTCTCAAATCTTTGACTGATCCCTGAGCTCTGTGTATCCAAGGGAGACTCCACAAAGTGTAGCACAGAACAACTGCTGAATAAGTAGAGATTTAATCTGTTGCTCACTGAAGGAGGAAACAGAGTTTGTAGGTTTTGAGTTCCAGTAAAAAGGAGGAACGTGGTGTAAAAAGCCCAGGCTTTTCAAGACCCACCTTAAAGTAAATAAAACCAACTCTCCATAAATTCAAACTGAGAGGTATAAACTGTTTTCATGAATTGGAAAACTCAATATTGTTACTAGAGCAATTCTCCCCAAATTTACCTACAGATTAAGAGCAATAAATTCCAGTAGGCTTTTTGTAGATTTGTCAAAAGTTAAACATTTACTTACCATATGGCCCTGTCATTCCACCCTTAGGTACTTACCAAAAAGAAATTAAAACATTTGTCCATATAGAGAACCATATATGAATATTCAGAGCAGCTCTATTCACAATAGCCCCAATCTTTAAACAACCCAAATATTTATCAAATGAGGAATAGATATTATGAGATATTGCTCAATAATGAAAAGGAACAAACTACTGATAAATGCAACCTTGATGAATCTTCAAAAACATAATCATAAGTCCAAGAAGCCAGACACAAAAGAGTACATTCTACATTATTCCATTTATATGAAACTCTAGAAAAAGAAATCTCATCTGTAGTGCCAAAAACTAAATCTGTGATTATCCGGGGCCAGAAACACGTTAGGCATGGGCAGCGGGGCATGCACAGGAGGAGGACAAAATTGACAAGGAAATGGAACTTTGGGGTGGTGGTAATATTCTACTTATTGATTGTGATGGGTACACAGGTGTCTACATTTGCCAACATTCATAAAACAGTGCACTTAAAATGCATGTATTCTTGGCTGGGCGTGGTGGCTCACGCCTGTAATCCCAGCACTTTGGGAGGCCAAGGCAGGCAGATCACAAGGTCAGAAAATCGAGACCATCCTGGCCAACATGGTGAGACTCTGTCTCTACTAAAATATAAAAAATTAGCCGGGCATGGTGGCACATACCTGTTGTAGTCCCAGCTACTCAGGAGGCTGAGGCAGGGGAATCACTTGAACCCGGGAGGTGGAGGTTGCAGTGAGCTGAGATCTCACCACTGTACTCCAGCCTGGGCAACAGAGCAAGACTCCATCTCAAAAAAAAAATCATGTATTCTTATTGAATGTAAATTATACCTCAGTAATGCTGTAAAAACAAAACTGAAACAATTCCCAGTTAATGCCCCAGAAATATCTATACCAGACAGCAACAGTAATGACAAAAAAAAGAACCACAAATTGAAGAGATACTTAATAGGTAGATGTAGACAGGCTGGACTGCCATGAAAAAAAAAAAAGGACTCCCAAGATGCAATGACTTAAACAAGAAAACAAGATAGGGATTTATGTCTCATGTAACTATCTAGTTAGGGTGTGCACCTTGAGGTCATCCAGGAAGGTAAACATCAAGCTCTGCTATCCCCTGCCAGTGGTCTTATTCTAGGGTTGGCAGGCCCACAAATGGGCCCATGCACAGAGTTTAGGAGGCCTGTGAACCTGAATGGGAAAAAAATAACACCTTTATTTTCACTAGCTTCTAAATAAAGTTTAGTAATCTCTTCAATTATGAATTATGACAACAAATCACGGTAATATTAGCAATGCCTGTGGCTTAGCGACTTGAAGTCACAGATTATTTTCATATCACAGTACTGTTAATAAAGAATCTTGAAATATCACTCATAATTATTATTGCTTTGAAATTACTGTAAATATAAGACCTGGCTGCTAAATTTTGTTATTTAGCATGTTAATTAAAAAATGCTATTTGACTATATAACAAATTAGTTTATTTAAAATGTTGATAACTATACCTCAGTATAATTGGCTTTTGTTATAATTCTATACATTTTATTTTATGTATTTGGAAAAGAGGTCATAGGACTGATTATCAAAGGGCCCATGTCACAAAGAATGTTTAAGAACCCCCTGTTCTGGAATATTGTCATCACCTCTGTGGTCTAAGCTAGGCTGCTGCCCCCTCTCATTTACACAAGTAGGAAGAGGAAAGAGAACCTGGAGGAGGTATGGCACACATGGCCTCTGCTTACATATCAGAGAACTCAGTGTCCTGGCCACAGTCAAATACAATAGAGGCCAGGAAAGGTTGTGTATCTCGGCTAACACATGTCCAGCTACAAGTTTCTATTACAGCTGATGAAAGAGACAACTAGCGGGCTCTGTACATTGATTCAATCCTGTCTGAGGATGACCATATAGAAGCATAAGGAGAGGAGACAAGTGAGTCAGATAGTGGCCAAGTTTCTGATTTGGGATACCATTCACAAAGATGGGGAGAAGAAAAAGTAGAAGACATTTGGAAGAAGAAAAAACATTGCAATTGGACAAGTTGACTTTGAGATTCCTATGAGCAGGGGTATACTGACAAACCTGCTCTCCCAGAAAACAAAAACAAAAATCCTGTTTATAGCCTTTGATGACTTCCACGATCTAAATGTACCCATCATGGCCTATTTCAAGCTACCAAGATGATGTCACTGAATGAGCAGTTGGAAAGAAATGTGCATGAATAGGCTTTCATAAGCCAGCAAAGGCTGGGTTCAGCTCACCTCTACCAGTGAGGATTTCCAAATGGAGGCATCTTAAAGACACTGGGATATGCAGAGCTCAAGCTAAGGAGTAGAATCTAGGTGAGACATTGATTTCGGAATAAATGAGATTATCTGGCCATAGGATTCTAAGAAGTCTGATTTGCAGTTACTTATGGCTTAGACAAATGTGATCTTGATTAAGGGTTCCAAGTAGAAAATAGATGCAAAAATAAGCATGGTATAGAGGATGGGGTTAATAAATTTCCAAAACTCTGCCATCAGTAAAATTCCGTCTGACAAAGAAGCTCTCTGGCCACTCTCAAAGGAGCCAACTCTAACCAAAGTTGGTAGTGCATCAGTGGAAATATCAGACCAGGGATATGAACCACAGAACTGCTTGGTTGTCAGGACTGGGATCTTGTGACATATCAGCAATCCAAGATAGGTAGATTCAGCCTGAGGTGATTCTCCTCTCGAATGAGGGACTCTCCGAGGGAATCTCCTCTAGAATGTCCATCAGTCTAATGAAGGCACAGACACATAAGGAGATACAACAGTATAGCACATATTATTACAAAGATATGCATACGAGACTATAAGAGCACAAAGGAATAAATTATCAATGAAAACGATTGAGGAAAGAACAGTTGGCATTAAAGCTCAAACCCAAACAATGAATAGGAATTTTCTAAGTTTACCAGGAAGCATGGTGGAGATTGAGCAGTGTTGGTGCAGTGAGGGAGGAGGTAATAAGAATTTCAGGAAGCACAGCTTGGGCAAAGACTCAGGAGCTTAGAAGAACAAGGTTTCTTCAGAGATCAACAAGAATTTGGTATTTCTACTACTGTATTCTAATCCAACATAAATGTTTATTTCATTAATTTTGCTGCTTCTCCTTATTTTCAGTGCATTCTGTGCTACCTGACACCTATTGGGTAAGTACCCAGTATTTTACAGAATAAGTTTAAAGATCTATGAAAAGGAGATTGAGAATCTAAGATTTATAAAAGTGCAATAGCAATCATACTTTTTTTTCAATGCTGCTGAAACATATCCATACGCACTACTTTCTAGGCAAGGAAAAATGAATCAGATGAGACATTATAACTCATACTTTACAAAATTCACTTAAAAGTCAGAAAACCTGGATCAGTCTCGGGGGCAGGAGGGGTCAGAGTAGCCCCTTGATTGATTTCTTCTTCTTTGTCCTATTGAACATGCTTTTTGTACATTCCGAGAAAATATGAAATTTCAGTGGACAGAAGTTGAAGTTGGTCTAAAAATCGGGATTCTGTTTTGAAATTATTTATTCAACAAATATTGTGCTTGTCAGGCACCATGCTAGACACTGGACATGGAATGCTGCGATAGACATTATTCCAATTCTTCAGAAATTGACAGTCTTTTGGAAATCAAAAAGTAAATAATCTATTGCAATATAGTGTGTGACACAAATTAGAGCTGCCCCTTGTCTTCTCTTCTGTATTCATTCATTTGGTCTCAACACTCAACACCTCTACAAGTTCTCTCACACCACGCTTCAGTAATTGGGAAGTCATAGATCAATCAGAAGGTAGTGATTCAATATGAGTTGCAACTGTGTACTATATCTTGTTTAAAATAATTTCATCTTGGACTTCCCAAAGGTTAACCAACTCTAAACTGATCCTTTGTTCTCTCACTTCCATTTTGCCTGTGAAGTATCTAAATTGCTCTGCGCATCCAGATTCAAAACACAGAACTTTTTGGATTCCACAAAACGAAACCACTCACACAAAACCTTTCACACAATTGAGACTTCACTGAGGATTTGGTAAGGGACAAAGAGGCAAGGCTTTACATTTTGTTTCCTAAAATAAGCTATTTAAATCATATAATTTTATTTCTGTTCTCCATGACAGTACTAACATGGGCATGGTATGGAGGAGCTTCTTTCTCTCTCTCTCCATCTCTCTCCCTCATTGTCTCTTTCTATCTCCTTCTTCCCCCTTCCTCACACAGTGCCCAGCCTTATTGGATCATCTCTTCTTTATTATGCAGAGTAATTCATTCCTGAAGGAGTTTCCATTTCCAAATTTCAGACTTGGCATTCAGCAAAACAAAAGCTACCCATCCCACCTCCCTGCCCAGTTAACAGGACTGGCTTTCTTTAAAGGCATTTTACAGATTATGTTTTGTAATACGAGCATATTCCTGTGGTTCCATCCACTATCCCTAATCTTCCCCCAAAAGACATGCTGATGAATTAAGTTTTCTGCTTCTCATTGTAATTGTTATGTCTTGTAACTAAGAAAATACAGAGGGCATTAAGAGAACCTATAAGGTGACTTTGACTTCCATTTCAGGGTCCTGGAAGGAGGAAGCAACAATCCTGAGTGAAACCTCGACAAGAAGTATCCAATAGGTAGACAAAGGGATTGGGGGTATGAGTTGTTAGTTAGCAGAGGGAAAGAAGACAGTGACTCACAAAAGGAGAACAAAATGTTGGAGGCAAATTACAAGTTATAAATAAAATAATGAGTGAGTACAGAGAGATTCACTTCTCACGACTCCTCTCTTGTGTCATCTCTCCTAGGACATTCGTCATGTCCTCAAATACAATGCTTCAAAAAACGCTGCTGATCTTGATCTCTTTTTCAGTAGTAACCTGGATGATTTTTATAATTTCTCAGAACTTCACAAAGGTAGGAGCAAATCACCTTTGATGCAGATCACACAGTAAGCCCTCACCTGTGTGACGTGCCTCAAGTCAGTCCCACTCCATTAGTCCTGCCCCTCCTCCCCCACCTCAACTACTGCCCTATCTTCTCTCTCTCTACCTAACTCCTTAGAGGCATTGTGGACACCAACAACCTCTATTTCTTCATTTCCCATTCATCCTCAGTCCATTCCAATTAGGATTTGACCTTGCACACGCTCCCAAAATGGCCCTTGTTAAAGCTACCAACTTCCTCATCAGTAAATAACTTATTTAAACACTCAATCTGGCCATGTAAATCCAGCTTGTCATTTTATCTTTTTATTGTGTCTATGATTTCCTTTTCCATGCAAAAGTTATTTTTTTAGCAGTACTGTTTCCCTTATAACATGTTTCTGTGTGTTAAGTCACAGTTAGAAAGTTTTTCCCGCTCAAAGATTATACAGGTATTCATCCATGTTTTCTTATTTTTTTACTTGTATAGTTACATTGTCTATAAATATCTGATCCACTTGGAATTTACGCTGTTGAAAGATATAAGACATCAATCTCATTTAACTTTTTCCATATGACTCTCCAATTATCCTAATCTTCTTATTTAAAATTCCATTCTATATCCTCACTGATGTTGAGTGCGGCCTCCGTAGCATACTAAATTTGTATATATAATGAGGTCTATTTCTGATTTTCAATTCTGTTACATTGTCTTTTTATTCATGCATCAATACCATCCTACTTTAATTACAAAGATTTTTACAAGTAAGTTTTAATATCTAGTAGAGCTAATCCCACCCACACCCAACACTTTTGGCTTTTCTATTCCCCATACGTTTTGTAACTATTCTCTTTCACTTATCCTTTCAAGTGAACTTTCTAACTGGCCTGTCTGACCCAGAAGATATTTAGGACATTGTTATTGTGATTTTATTAAATGTATAAGTTAACCTTGGAAGACTAAACAACATCCTTATGATGTTAAGTTTTTCTATCCAAGGACATGGTTTCCTTTACATTTGTTCAATTTTGTTTTCTTCAGTAGTGTTTTGTGAGTTTTCCTCATATAAATCTTGGACACGTGTGCTAAATGTACACTTAAGTATTTTATTATCATTTTGCTGCCATATATTGGATTGTCACTTCCATTTTAGCTTCTCTCTATTTTTTGTCTATATACACAAAAGCTATTTTTTTATATATTATTTCCTACTATTTTACTAAATTCTTTTATTATTTGTAGTCATTTCTCCATTGATACTTTGGGGTTTTTCAGATAAATAACAATTGCATCTGAAAATAAAGATTATTTTTATTTCCTTTTCAATTCCAGTGTCTCGAATTGCTTTCTCTTCTCTAACTGCATTAGCTAACACCTCCATCCCAATGTTGAAAGTAATGAGATAGTAGGCATCCTTGTCTTGTTCCTGATTTTGGTGACAAAGCCTTTAGTGTTTCCCTTAAGTAAAATGCAAGCTTTTGAGTTAAAGTATATATTTTATGTGTAGAGGAAATCCATAAATTTCTTTCTGTTGTGTTTTTCAACATGAATCAGTACTAATTTTGTCAAAGTCCTATTGTGCTTTTATGAAGATAATCATGTAATTCCTCACATTAGCTGTATTAATGTGAAGAATTACATTAAAAACGGAACAAAATGTGTATTCCTGGAATAAAACTCTCTGAATTATGATGTATTATTTTTGTGTAATGTTCATTTGGATTGCTTGCCAATATTTTATTTAAGATGTATATCTCAATATTCATAAATCTAAAGTTCTTGGTACAATATTAGGTTTTGGAAAATACATTATACTTATTTCGTAAGAATTGATTTGGAAGCTTTTTGTTTTTATTTGTTTCTAGTGCTCTGAACTTATTTAAGTAATATTGGGATTGACTGATCTTTAAAGTTTGGTAGAATTCCATCAGCCTGGCTTTGTGCATTCAGTAGCAGTGCTCTGCTACTTTTTTCACTATTCTCTATTTTTTTAATGTCACTCAGGTCAATTTTGATAGGTTGTATTTTCTGAGTTATCCATTTTATCTAGATTCTCATATGTATTTGCTTAAAATTGTGAAAATCATCTTGTTACTTTTAAACTTTTCCCCCTTTTCAGGTTTTCCCTCAAAGATGTCTAATTTTGCATATTTGTGTTTTCTTCCTTTTGAATTGATTAGATTCACTAGTGGCTTGTCTATTTTTTTATTTTTTATTCTTTCAAAATAAAACCCAGGTTTTTGTTTCTTCTACTATTTTTCTGTATTTTAATGCATTACTTTTGCTTTTACCTTCCTATCAATTCCTACCTTTTTCTTTCTTTTGATTTACTCTGTTTTCCTTTTTCTAACTTTTTAACTGGGTGTTTAATTCATTTAGTTTTATCTCCTCATTTACATAGGTACTTAATGCTATAAACTTAACTGATAATTCTTTTAGCTGTATCTCATAGATTCTAACATAATATGCATTAATTATAGTTACTTTCAAAATACCCAATTGATTTTATTTATATTTTTCTTTGAGTCACGAGTTGTTTAGAAACATTTTTAACTTCTGAGTGGAATGGTATTTGGGGTTTTTATTTCATAAATCTCTATTAAATACCTGCATTATAAGAATGCTGCCTTTATTATTATTTCTACCAGTTAGCATTTATTGAGGTTTTCTTCATGACCTAAGATATAGAGAATATTTGTAAAGGTTTCATATGTTCCTCTAAAGTTATATTCTCTATTATTAGAATTCAGAGTTCAGTATATATCTACACGATCTGTCTTTATGGTTATTAGTTCTTTAATAGCCTTACTAACTTTGTTCACTTGGCATGCTATAAATAAGTCACATATTAGATGTGGCTATCCTTAAAGTGAATTTCTCTAAGTATTCTTGAATCTCTTATATTTTCTGCTTTAAGCATGTATCTCTGTACTCGGTGCATAAATATTCATTGCTTGTGTTTTAATTATCCTTTTGCATATATGGTATCCTGCTTCATCTCTTAATACTTTTTTGGTTATGAATGTTACCTTATCAGATACCAAGATTTCCTTTCCCTTTTTTTTAATGTGGTATTTAATTGTTCAATCTCTGATTTTCTTAAGATTTAATAAACTTTTTACTTTAGGTTAGTTTCAGGTTTACAGAAAAATTGTAAGAATATTACAGGAAGTTCTTCTATACCCTGTACCCAATATCCTCCATTTCAACATTATTGTAGCATAACCAATAAAACCATACTGATACTTACAATTTGAAGTCCATATATTATTCAGATTTCCTTAATTTCTACCTAATATGCATTTTCTCATCCACAATCCCATCCAGGGTGCCATGTTACATCATTTCTTTTCCTTTTTGAGACAGAGTCTTGCTCTGACACCCAGGCTGGAGTGCAGTAGTGCCATCTCGGCTCACTGCAACCTCTGCCTCCTAGGTTCAAGTGATCCTCCTGCCTCAGCCTCCCGAGTAGCTGGGATGACAAACATGAACCAGCACACCCGGCTAATTTTTATATTTTTTGGGAGAGATGCGTTTCACCATGTTGGCCAGGCTGGTCTCAAACTCCTAACCTCAAGTGATCAACCTGCCTCAGCCTCCCAAAGTGCTGGGATTACAGGCGTGAGCCACCGCACCCAGCCAACATTATATTTCATTGTCACTTCTCTTTAGACTTTCCTTGTTTTTGATGACATTGACAGTTTTAAGGAACAGTGGTCTGGTATTTTGTAAACTGTCCTTCCATGTTAGTTTGTCTGTTATTTTTCTCATGGTTAAACAGAATTCATGGGTTTAGGGAAGGAAGATCACAGAGCTAAGTGGTCTTCCACTCATCACATCACATCAAGGATGCATGCTGTCAATATGACATCACTGATGATGTTAATCTTGATCACCTGGCTGAGCTGATGTTCATCAGGTTTCTCCACAGTAAGATTACTCTTCCTTCTGCCCCACCCTGCTCTTTACTGTACTCTTTCAAAAGAGGTCACTAGGTCAATTCCACACTTAAGGATTGGGCAGTTCTGTTCCATCTCCTTGAGTGGGGAGAATCTGCATACATTATCTGGAATTCTTCTGTACAAGAGATTTGTCTATTATCCCTTACATATTTGTTTATTCAATCATTCATTTACATCAGTGTGAATTCATAGATATTTATTTCATACTTTGGGACATAATCCAACAGTACATTATTTTGTTACTCAAATTGTTCTACTTTGGCCATTGAGAGCTCTTTCCATTGGTTCCTGTGTTCCTTTGTTTGTTTGCTTCTTTTGAGCATTTCTTGCTTTCCGACACTACAAGATGCTTTAGGCTCATCTTGTATATTCCCTGCCCCAGCCCTAGAATCAGCCGTTTATCCAAGGAGCCCTGATTCCTTTCACTGGAGAATGGTATTGGAAACAAAGATCTAGACACTGGCTCTGTTTGTTACTATTGGGGTGTCTTTGCTTCTAGGCCCTCTCAGAAGACAGCGCTCAGAAATATTGGCCAGGCATGGTGCCCCATGCCTGTAATCCTAGCACTTTGGGAGGGTGAGATGGGAGGATCGTTTGAGGCCAGGAATTCGGGACCAGTCTGGTCAACATAGCAAAACCCCATCTCTAAAAAAAAAAAAAGAAAAAGAAAAAATATATATATGTATGATACTAGCCAGTAATACATGCATATCTATAATTATATGTAAAATATCCATTTCAATCTATATTAAGCTAAACATGGGCTCATACTGATATTTCTCTCATCTATCACTACATGGTTCACACACTAGCCTTCACCTACCACATCAATCATGAGGAATCTGGCTCCCACCATCTGTCATCTATTTATTTACTTATTTGTTCATCTCCCAGCATACACATACAATGGTTTCAGAATTGTTAACTGAGAGTACAGTGCTTATATGCAGTTCTTTTTGTCTTTCGCCTTACAGACTCTATTAATTTCCAAAGCAGCTTAGGTCAGCACTTTTATCCAGCAAGGTTATGTCATACATTTGTAATACAGTTAAATTTGTAATACAGTTAAAACACTGTGTTCTACCATTTAGTCCCTCAATCTCCTTATTGATTTTTTTATTTTGCATACATTAAGATTCACTCAGCCAGGGGCAGTGGCTCATGCCTGTAATCCCAGCACTTTGGGAGGCCGAGGTGGGTGGATCGCAAAGTCAAGCTATCGAGACCATCCTGGCCAACATGGTGACATTCCATCTCTATTAAAAAAATACAAAAATTAGCTGGGCGTGGTGGTGTGCCCCTGTAGTCCCAGCTACTTGGGAGGCTAAGGTAGGAGAATCGCTTGAACCTGGAAGGCGGAGGTTACAGTGAGCTGAGTTCACGCCACTGCACTCCAGCCTGGAGACAGGGCAGGAATCTGTCTCAAAAAAAAAAAAAAAAGATCCACTCTTTGTGTTATAAGATTCAATGAGCTTTTGCAGTTTCATGTATACACAACAGTATCATACACAGTAATTTCACTGACCTAAAAAGTCCCCCTCTGATTCACCTATTCAACTTTCTCCCCTCCCCAAATCTCTGGCAACCATTGATTGGTTTTTGATCTCTATAGAACCACCTTTTTCCAGAATGTCATAGTAATGCAGTCATACAGTGCATAGCCTTTTCAGATGGGCTTCTTTCTCTTAGCATTATGCATTTAAGATTCACCTATGTTGTTGCATGGATTGATAGCTCATTTTTCTTATTGCTAAATATTGTCCCACTGTATCAATGTACTACAATTTGTTTATCTATATTCACCTACTGAAGAGCTCTTGGTTGCTTCCAGTTTTGGGCAACTATGATCAAAGCTGCTATAAACATTCATGTGCAGGTATTTGTGTGGACATAAGCATTCAAATCAACTGGATATGTATACAGGAGAAAAACTGCTATATTGAATGGTAAGACTATGTTTAGCTTTATAAGATATTATCAAAGTGTCTTTCAAAGTAGCTGTGCCATTTTGGATTCCCACCAGCAATGAGTGAGAATCCTACTGCTCTACATTCTCACCAGCAACTGGTATTGTCAGGTTTTTTTTTAAATTTTAGCCATTCTAATTGATATGTATTAGTATTTCATTGCTGTTCTAATTTGTCTCCCTGACGAATAAAATTGAGTGTCTTTTTTATATATTTAGTTGTAATGCGTGTCTCTTCTTTGGTGAGGTGTCCATTCAGATCTTTTGCACATTTTAAAATTGTTTTCTCTTATTATTGAGTTTTAAGAGTTCTTTGTATATTCTAGATGAAGTCCTTTACCTGATAAGTGTTTTTAAAATATATTCTCACACTCTATGGCTTATCTCTGCATCCTCTTAACAGTGTCTTTCACAGGGCAGAAGCTTTAATTTTTAATAAAATCTAACTTATCAGTTTTTCTTTCATGGATTGTGCTTTTTATATTATTTCTAAAACCTCATCAACAGCTCAAGTTCACACAGATTTTCATGTGTGTTTTCTTCCAGAAATTTTAGATTTTATATTTATTTAGGTCTGTCATCCATTTAGAGTTAACTTTTCTGTCAATTGTGAGGTCTGTGTCTAGGCTCATTTTTTTATGTATGAACGTCTAATTGTTCCAGCACTATTTGCTGAAAAGACTCATTTTTCCATCAAATTGCCTTTGTGCCTATGTCAAAAATCAGTTGATAATATTTGTATGCATTTGTTTATTGGCTTTCTATTATGTTCCCTTGATTAATCTGTTCATTCTTTCACCAACACTGCATTGTCTTGATAACGGCAGCTTTGTAATAAGCCTTGAAGTGGGACAATGAGATTTTTCCCATTTTGTTCTTCTTTCTCAGAATTGAGTTATTTTGGTTCCTTTACCTTTCCATATAAAATTTCAGTCAGTTTGTTGATTGCTACAAAAAAATTGCTGGGATTTTTATTGAAATGGTATTGAATCAATAAATCAAGTTGGGAAGAACTGACATCCTAACAATATTTAGTCTGTCCAATCCATGAACATGGAATCTCTCTCCATTTATTTAGATTTTTTAAAATTTCTTCCATTAATGTTTCACAGCTTTCTACATACAGATCCTGTATATATTTTGTTAGATTTATACTTAAGTGCTTCACTTTTTTGGTGCTATTGTAAATGGTTTTCTTTTTTGTAATTTCAAATTCCAATTGTTCATTGCTAGTATATAGCAAAACAATTAAATTTTATATATTGACTTGTGTCCTGAAACCTTGCTATATTTACTTAGTAGTTCCAAGAATTTTCTATAGATTCTTTGGGTAGATTCTACGTAGACAGTCATGTAATTTGTTAATAAAAACAGCTTTACTTTTTCCTTTCCAATATGTATGTCTCTTATTTTTCCTTCTTGTTTTATTGTACTAGTTAGGACTTCCACTACATTGTTGAATAGGAGTGGTGAAAGAGGACATTCTTGACTGGTTCCAATATTGGGGAAGTGTTTAATCTCTCATTATTAAGTACCATTCTTCTTTGTTAAAAAATCTTTCTGAATCTGTGCCATAAGTATGTCTCTTATGTAAGCCACAGTGATTTGGCTTTGTTAACCAATCTAAAAAGATTTTTTTTTTTTTTAAACAGGGTCTCACTCTGTACCCCAGGCTGGAGTGCAGTGGCACAAACATGGCTCCCCAGGCTCAAGTCATCTTCCTGCCTCAGCCTCCTGAGTGGCTGGGGCTACAGGCACATACCACCACATCTAGCTAATATATAATATATATAATTATATATAATTAGAGTCTTGCTCTGTTGCCCAGGCTGGAGTGCATGGAATACAATGGTGCAATCTTGGCTCACTGCAACCTCTGCCTCCCAGGTTCAAGCAATTCTCCTGCCTCAGCCTCCTGAGTAGCTGGGATTACAGCTGCCCGCCACCATGCCCAACTAATTTTTGTATTTTTAGTAAACACAGAGTTTCACCATGTTGGCCAGGCTGGCCTCAAACTCCTGACCTCAACTGATCCGCCTGCCTCAGCCTCCCAAAGTGATTTCTTTATGTATTTTGTAGAGACAGTCTTGCCATATTTGCCCAGGCTGGTCTCAAACTCCTGGCCTCAAGTGATCCTCCTGCCTCAACCTCCCAAAGTGCTGGGATTATAGGCATAAGCCACTTTACCTGACCTGAAAATATACTTTAATTGGTGAGATAAGCTAATTTATATTTATTGATGTGGTAAATATGTTTGGTGTCAGTATGACATATTGTTTTGTGTTATAATCATATATATTCATGTCTTCATAGGGTCTAGTTTATTTGCTTGTTTTTTACTGTGATTTAGTGAGGTTTATATTTTTGTTCTAATGATTATGTTTATTTTAATCCATTATATAACCCTTCTTTACTTTTTTCTTGGTAAATGACTATTGCTTCCCTCTAATGAGCAATATTGAAAGTAACTATAAACCTCTTTTGCCCCAACTCTCCCTTTTCCTCAACATCTGATTTGAAGTAATGTCCTTTTACTTCAGTTAATAACTATAAGGCAAATGACAAGCTAATTCTGCTTTTCATAGCTCTCCCCACTCCCCCACCAATTTTTTATAGTTGTACTGTATCTACATTGTCAGAGCACACAACCATTGCATACTATTCTCTATTCCTTGTAAGCATAATTTAGACTTATTTCTGTAAATAAATATATGATTCATCCTTACCATAAATCCTCATATCAAACTTTTCAATTATGTTGGTTGTTTAATGTTCATGCTGTTTAGTAGATTCCTTAGGAACGATCTGGGAAAAATAGTCCCTGAATTCTAATGTTTTCATTAGAACTTGCCTGTGACTCTTATAATTAAAGGTCAGTTTGTCTTCTTATAAAATTTCTGGCTCATATTTTCTTTCCTTGATTTTCTTAAACATTTTACTCTACAAATTTTGACAAAATATTGATGTTAAAAAGTAAAGAAAATAGAATTTAAGAAAAGACATAAATAAGGATAAAGTGAGATGCTACATAAGGAACAATTTACAAAGCAGATATAATAATCATAAATGTGAATGACCCTAGCAAAAAATCTCAACATACAAAAGTGGGAACAGTCAGAATTACAAGCTAAAATTGATATAGCCACAGCCATAGTGGGAATTTTTATTATGCCTCTTTCAGAAACTTATAAATCAAAAAGACCTTAACTTAGTAAATGGAGATAAGGTCTAAACACAATTGATAAACATAAACTTGATCTAACAGATAAACATTGAGAAGCAGGGAGGCAGTTTAGCATAGTGAATTAAGAGATATATTTTTATCTCAGATATTGTTTGGTTCTTTTGTAAAATTTGTTTGGTTCTTTCTGAGGACTAAGCTCTGATTTTTTATCTTGCTCAAATTCTTCTATTAATCTCAGGTCTTTATACAAACTCAACCAATTGTCAACCAGAAATGATTAAATTTACCTATAGCCTGGAAGCACCATCCCCCCCACTTCAAATTGTCCTGCCTTTCTGGAACAAACCAATGTATTTTTCAAATGTATTTGATTGATGTTTCATGCCTCCCCAAAATGTATATAACCAAGCTGAACCCCAACCACCTTGGGCACATGTTCTCAGGACCTCCTGACGGCTGTGTCACGTGTCGTGGTCGCTCATATTTGGCTCAGAATAAATCTATTCAAATATTTTACAGAGTTTGACTCTTTTCATCGACATTTCTAAATATTTCTCCATCCTTGCTGAGATTTCTTATCTTTCCATTCATTACAACATATTTTCTTTTACCTCATTGAGCATAGTTATAATAGCTGTTTCATAGTCCTTGTCTGATCAGGCCAACATCTATGTTATCTCAGGGTTGGCTTCCATTAATTGTCTTATCTTTTGCAAAGGACTGCCTTTTTCTGGTTCCTCCTATGCTGAGTAATTTTGAATTGTGACTGTTATGTTGTGGAAACCACGGATTCCGTTTTACTCCTCAGAATAGTGTCGATGTTTTTGCTATGGCAGGCAATCGATTAACTTGGTTCAACTCAAACTGCAAACTGACCCAACCTGTGGTTATAAGTAAATCACATCTCAGTTGAGTTCTGACTAGCTGCAGATTGCTTTGGGTCTACCCCACAGGTGTGCCTCAGGGGTCAGCTAGAGATCTAAGCAAAGTTCATACTCAGAAATTGCGGCATGACCTTCTCTGCCTCTGTTCTGGGATTTCCCCCTCCATCCAGTGACTGTGTTGCTGCAGACTCTGCTCTCAGGTTGTTCAAGCCAAAAAAAAAAAAAAAAAAAAAAAAAAAAAAAAAAAAAAAAAAAAAAAAGATGGCTTTCTATTGTGTTTTAGCTACTCTGCTAGTAGACTGCCCTCAGGCTAACACATCAAAACCAGGAAACTTACCTCCTCTTAATGGCACCTTCTTCCAAGTTTCATCTTCCCACCAAAACTTGCCTGCTTTTGTTCACTGTCTTTAGCCTTCAGGTACTTGTTTTTGGCATTTCGTTCAGAGTTGAACATTGCAATCTGAAAGAGAGTCACAAGTTACTTGGTCATATTGAAACAGAACTCTTTTGTTATACTTAAAAAAAAATTATTTCCCATCCATACTCTCCTTCCTCTTTTCCCATACGCACCCATTCCATACTAGTTATTTCTCAGTGTTTCAATTCTTATTCAATACATGTATTTATGTATATATGTGGACTAGGAAGATATATAGTTATGAGTTAGTGTTTGTATTTATTTTAATTTACATACTTAATTTTTTCATTCAAAATTGTTTTTTGAAATCTAATCATGTTGCTATATGTAAATGTAGTTCATGATGTCTGAGAATTGCATGTATTTCATTCTATGAATATACAAAGTTTAACTTATCCAGTCTCCTAAACAAATTGGATTTATTGGCCGGGCATGGTGGCTCACACCGTAATCCCAGCACTTTGGGAGGCCGAGGCAGGCAGATCACTTGAGGTCAGGAGTTTGAGGCCAGCCTGGCCAACATGGTGAAACCCCATCTCTACTAAAAATAGAAAAAATTAGTCAGGCATGATGGCAGGCGTCTGTAATCCCAGCTATTCAGGCGGCTGAGGCAGGAGAATCGCTTTGGAGGTCTTATTTAAGAAATACTTACTGATGTGAGGTCATAAGGAAATTATAAATGTCTTTATATTGAACTTTTAGTTACAATATTCGTATTAAGGTCTTTAATGCATTTGGAACTTTAGTATGTAGTGTGTGATAGGAATCTTTGGGTTTTTTTCAATATAGTGAAACCATTTTCTTGATACAATTTACGAAATATAATTTTCTGATTTCTGATGGTACCATTAACCTATAATAAACTTCAAGTCTGCTTCTAAGGTATCTACTTCTTTTGATTGGTTTATTTGACTGATATTGCACTTTACAATTATATTTTATTTCAATAATTTACACTAGGGCTAGTATTTTTTAAATAGTTCCTCTTTATAAATGATTATATTCCCTAAAATTTTGGAATTAGTTAATCAGATTCCATCTCCCATCTTAAGAATTTAATTAGAAATACAGAAAATTTTTAATTTTTTTTGAGAGAGAATTAACAACTTTATCATGTTAAGCCTTACCACATTTCAAAGTGCTACATCTTTCCATTCATTCAGACCTTTAAAAAATATCCTTAAAAGAGTTTTCAAAATACCTCCATTAAGGACAGAGCTTCCTCAATTGTATTTTCTTTGTTATTATTATACTTTAAGTTTTAGGGTACATGTGCACAACGTGCAGGTTTGTTACATATGTATACATGTGCCATGTTGGTGTGCTGCACCCATTAACTCGTCATTTAGCAATAGGTATATCTCCTAATGCTATCCCTCCCCCCTCCCCAGACCACACAACAGTCCCCAGTGTGTGATGTTCCCCTTCCTGTGTCCATGTGTTCTCATTGTTCAATTCCCACCTATGAGTGAGAACATGCGGTATTTGGTTTTTTGTCCTTGTGATAGTTTGCTCAGAATGATGGTTTCCAGCTTCATCCATGTCCCTAAAAAGGACAGGAACTCATTATTTTTTATGGCTGCATAGTATTCCATGTGTATATGTGCCACATTTTCTTAATCCAGTCTATCATTGTTGGACATTTGGGTTGGTTCCAAGTCTTTGCTATTGTGAATAGTGCCTCAATAAACACACGTGTGCATGTGTCTTTATAGCAGCATGATTTATAATCCTTTGGGTATATACCCAGTAATGGGATGGCTGGGTCAAATGGTATTTCTAGTTCTAGATCCCTGAGGAATCACCACACTGACTTCCACAATGGTTGAACTAGTTTACAGTCCCACCAACAATGTAAAAGTGTTCCTATTTCTCCACATCCTCTCCAGCACCTGTTGTTTCCTGACTTTTTAATGATCGCCATTCTAACTGGTGTGAGATGGTATCTCATTGTGGTTTTGATTTGCATTTCTCTGATGGCCAGTGATGATGAGCATTTTTTCACGTGTTTTTTGGCTGCATAAATAAATGTCTTCTATTGAGAAGTGTCTGTTCATATCCTTCGCCCACTTTTTAATGGGGTTGTTTGTTTTTTTCTTATAAATTTGTTTGAGTTCATTGTAGATTCTGGATATTAGCCCTTTATCAGATGAGTAGGTTGCAAAAATTTTCTCCCATTTTGTAGGTTGCCTGTTCACTCTGATGGTGGTTTCTTTTGCTGTGCAGAAGCTCTTTAGTTTAATTAGATCCCATTTGTCAATTTTGGCTTTTGTTGCCATTGCTTTTGGTGTTTTAGACATGAAGTCCTTGCCCATGCCTATGGCCTGAATGGTACTGCCTAGGTTTTCTTCTAGGGTTTTTATGGTTTTAGGTCAAACATGTAAGTCTTTAATCCATCTTGAATTAATTTTTGTATAAGGTGTAAGGAAGGCATCCAGTTTCAGCTTTCTACATATGGCTAGCCAATTTTCCCAGCACCATTTATTAAATAGGGAATCCTTTCCCCATTTCTTCTTTTTGTCAGGTTTGTCAAAGATCAGATAGTTGTAGATATGTGGCATTATTTCTGAGGGCTCTGTTCTGTTCCATTGGTCTACATCTCTGTTTTGGTACCAGTACCATGCTGTTTTGGTTACTGTAGCCTTGTAGTATAGTTTGAAGTCAGGTAGCGGGATGCCTCCAGCTTTGTTCTTTTGGCTTAGGATTGACTTGGCAATGTGGGCTTTTTGGTTCCATATGAACTTTAAAGTAGTTTTTTCCAATTCTGTGAAGAAAGTCATTGGTAGCTTGATGGGGATGGCATTGAATCTATAAATTACCTTGGGCAGTATGGCCATTTTCATGATACTGATTCTTCCTACCCATGAGCATGGAATGTTCTTCCATTTGTTTGTATCCTCTTTTATTTCATTGAGCAGTGGTTTGTAGTTCTCCTTGAAGAGGTCCTTCACATCCCTTGTAAGTTGGATTCCTAGGTATTTTATTCTCTTTGAAGCAATTGTGAATGGGAGTTCACTCATGATTTGGCTCTCTGTTTGTCTGTTACTGGTGTATAAGAATGCTCGTGATTTTTGCACATTGATTTTGTATCCTGAGACTTTGCTGAAGTTGCTTATCAGCTTGAGGAGATTTGGGGCTGAGACAATGGGGTTTTCTAGATATACAATCATGTCATCTGCAAACAGGGACAATCTGACTTCCTCTTTTCCTAATTGAATGCCCTTTATCCCCTTCTCCTGCCTCATTTTCTTGGCCAGAACTTCCAACCCTATGTTGAATAGGAGTGTTGATAGAGGGCATCCCTGTCTTGTGCCAGTTTTCAAAGGGAATGCTCCCAGTTTTTGTCCATTCAGTATGATATTGGCTGTGGGGTTGTCATAGATAGCTCTTATTATTTTGAGATATGTCCCATCAATACCTAATTTATTGAGAGTTTTTAGCATGAAGGGTTGTTGAATTTTGTCAAAGGCCCTTTCTGCATCTATTGAGATAATCATCTGGTTTTTGTCTTTGGTTCTGTTTATATGCTGGATTACATTTATTGATTTGCATATGTTGAACCAGCCTTGCATCCCAGGGTTGAAGACCATTTGATCACGGTGGATAAGCTTTTTGATGTGTTGCTGGATTCGGTTTGCCAGTATTTTATTGCGGATTTTTGCATCAATGTTCATCAAGGATATTGGTCTAAAATTCTCTTTTTTTGTTGTGTCTCTGCCAGGCTTTGGTATCAGGATGATGCTGGCTTCATAAAATGAGTTAGGGAGGATTCCCGTTTTCTACTGATTGGAATAGTTTCAGATGGAATAGTACCAGCTCCTCTTTGTACCTCTGGTAGAATTCGGCTGTGAATCCATCTGGTCCTGGACTTTTTTTGGTTGGTAAGCTATTAATTATTGCCTCAATTTCAGAGCCTGTTATTGGTCTATTCAGAGATTTAACTTCTTCCTGGTTTTGTCTTGGGAGAGTGTATGTGTCAAGGAATTTATCCATTTCTTCTAGATTTTCTAGTTTATTTGCATAGAGGTGCTTATAGTATTCTCTGATGGTAGTTTGTATTTCTGTGGGATCGGTGGTGATATCCCCTTTGTCATTTTTTATGGCGTCTATTTGATTCTTCTCTCTTTTCTTCTTTATTAGTCTTGCTAGCGGTCTATCAATTTTGTTGATCTTTTCAAAAAACCAGCTCCTGGATTCATTGATTTTTTTGAAGGGTTTTTTGTCTCTATTTCCTTCAGTCCTGCTCTGATCTTAGTTATTTCTTGCCTTCTGCTAGCTTTTGAATATGTTTGCTCTTGCTTCTCTAGTTCTTTTAATTGTGATGTTAGGGTGTCAATTTTTCATCTTTCCTGCTTTCTCTTGTGGGCATTTAGTGCTATAAATTTCCCTCTACACACTGCTTTGAATATGTCCCAGAGATTCTGGTATGTTGTGTCTTTGTTCTCATTGGTTTCAAAGAACATCTTCATTTCTGCCTTCATTTCATTATGTACCCAGTAGTCATTCAGAAGCAGGTTGTTCAGTTTCCATGTAGTTGAGGGGTTTTGAGTGAGTTTCTTAATCCTGAGTTCTAGTTTGATTGCACTGTGGTCTGAGAGACAGTTTGTTATAATTTCTGTTCTTTTACATTTGCTGAGGAGTGCTTTACTTCCAACTATGTGGTCAATTTTGGAATAGGTTTGGTGTGGTGCTGAAAAGAATGTATATTCTGTTGATTTGGGGTGGAGAGTTCTGTAGATGTCTATTAGGTCTGCTTGGTGCAGAGCTGAGTTCAATTCCTGTATATCCTTGTTAACTTTCTGTCTCGTTGATCTGTCTAATGTTGACAGTGGGGTGTTAACGTCTCCCATTATTATTGTGTCGGAGTCTAAGTCTCTTTGTAGGTCACTAAGGACTTGCTTTATGAATCTAGGTGCTCCTGTATTGGGTGCATATATATTTAGGATAGCTAGTTCTTCTTGTTGAATTGATTCCTTTACCATTATGTAATGGCCTTCTTTGTCTCTTTTGATCTTTGTTGGTTTAAGTCTGTTTTATCCGAGACTAGGATTGCAATCCCTGCATTTTTTTGTTTTCCATTTGCTTGGTAGATCTTCCTCCATCCCTTTATTTTGAGCCTATGTATGTCTCTGCATGTGAGATGGGTTTCCTGAATACAGCACACTGATGGGTCTTGACTCTTTATCCAATTTGCCAGTCTGTGCCTTTTAATTGGAGCAATTTAGCGCATTTACATTTATGGTTAGTATTGTTATGTGTGAATTTGATCCTGTCTTTATGATGTTAGCTGGTTATTTTGCTCGTTAGTTGATGTAGTTTCTTCCTAGCCTTGATATTCTTTACAATTTGGCTTGTTTTTGCAGTGGCTGGTACCGGTTGCTCCTTTCCATGTTTAGTGCTTCCTTCAGGAGCTCTTTTAGGGCAGGCCTGGTGGTGACAAAATCTCTCAGCATTTGCTTGTCTGTAAAGTATTGTATTTCTCCTTCACTTATGAAGCTTAGTTTGGTTGGATATGAAATTCTGGGTTGAAAGTTCTTTTCTTTAAGAATTTTGAATATTGGTCCCCACTCTCTTCTGGCTCGTAGAGTTTCTGGCAAGAGATCAGCTGTTAGTCTGATGGGCTTCCCTTTGTGGGTAACCCGACCTTTCTCTCTGGCTGCCCTTAACATTTTTTCCTTCATTTAAACTTTGGTGAATTTGACAATTATGTGTCGTGGAGTTGCTCTTCTCTAGGAGTATCTTAGTGGCGTTCTCTGTATTTCCTGAATTTGAATGTTGGCCTGCCTTGCTAGATTGGGGAAGTTCTCCTGGATAATATCCTGCAGAGTGTTTTCCAACTTGGTTCCATTCTCCCCGTCACTTTCAGGTACACCAATTAGACGTAGATTTGGTCTTTTCACATAGTCCCATATTTCTTGGATGCTTTGTTTCTTTTTATTCTTTTTTCTCCAAACTTCTCTTCATGCTTCATTTCATTCATTTCGTCTTCCATCACTGATACCCTTTCTTCCAGTTGATCACATCGGTTACTGAAGCTTGTGCATTTGTCACGTAGCTCTCGTGCTGTGGTTTTCAGCTCCATCAGGTCCTTTAAGGACTTCTCTGCATTGATTATTCTAGTTATCCATTCATCTAATTTTTTTTCAAAGTTTTTAACTTCTTTGCCATTGATTCGAACTTCCTCCTTTAGCTCAGAGTAGTTTGATCTTCTGAAGCCTTCCTCTCTCAACTCGTCAAAGTCATTCTCCGTCCAGCTTTGTTCTGTTGCTGGTGAGGAGCTGCGTTCCTTTGGAGGAGAAGAGGCGCTCTGATTTTTAGAGTTTCCGGTTTTTCTGCTCTGTTTTTTCCCCATCTTTGTGATTTTATCTACCTTTGGTCTTTGATGATGGTTATGTACAGATGGGTTTTGGGTGTGGATGTCCTTTCTGTTTGTTAGTTTTCCTTCTAACAGTCAGAACCCTCAGCTGCAGGTCTGTTGGAGTTTACTGGAGGTCCACTCCAGACCTTGTTTGCCTGGGTATCAGCAGTGGTGGCTGCAGAACAGCGGATATTGGTTAACCGCAAATGCTGCTGCCTGATCGTTCCTCTGGAAGTTTTGTCTCAGAGGAGTACCCGGCAGTGTGAGGTGTCAGTCTGCCCCTACTGGGGGGTGCCTCCCAGTTAGGCTACTTGGGGGTCAGGGACCCACTTGAGGAGGCAGTCTGCCCATTCTCAGATCTCAAGCTGCATGCTGGGAGAACCACTGCTCTCTTCAAAGCTGTCAGACAGGGACATTTAAGTCTGCAGAGGTTACTGCTGTCTTTTGTTTGTCTGTGCCCTGCCCCCAGAGGTGGAGCCTAAAGAGGCAGGCATGCCTCCTTGAGCTGTGGTGGGCTCCACCCAGTTTGAGCTTCCCGGCCGCTTTGTTTACCTACTCAAGCCTGAGCAATGGTGGGTGCCCCTCCCCTAGTCTTGCTGCCGCCTTGCAGTTTGATCTCAGATTGCTGTGCTAGCAATGAGCAAGGCTCCGTGGGCGTAGGACCCTCTGAGCCAGGTGCGGGATATAATCTCCTGGTGTGCTGTTTGTGAAGCCCATTGGAAAAGCGCAGTATTAGGGTGGGAGTGACCCGATTTTCCAGGTGCCATCTGTCACCCCTTTCTTTGACTAGGAAAGGAAATTCCCTGACCGCTTGTGCTTCCCGGGTGAGGCGATGCCTCGCCCTGCTTCAGCTCATGCACGGTGTGCTGCATCCACTGTCCTGCACCCACTGTCCGGCACTCCCCATGAGATGAACCAAGTACCTCAGTTGGAAATTCAGAAATCACCCGTCTTCTGCATCACTCATGCTGGGAACTGTAGACTGGAGCTGTTCTTATTCTGCCATCTTGGCTCCACCCCGCTCGAATGTATTGTCTATAATTTAAATGCTTTTGAGTTTGTGAGTTTGTTTTGTATTCGGCTTCTTGCTATCTTAATACTAATAATTTGCTAACTCTGGTTTCTTTGCAAACAGTCACAACATCTATAAAAAATAAAGAAAAGAAGGGAAAAAAAGTCTGTTTCTCCCCCCATCATTCTCATACCTTGGATTTTTGTTTGTTTGTTTTATTTTATTGTTCAGGACTTCTAACGTTATGTTGAACATTAATTCAGTTAATTGTGGCTAACATCCTTGCCTCCTTGACTTTTAAAATGTTTAAGGTTTCCTATTACTGAATTGTAATGCTAAGTAAATGTTGAAATACATCAAATCCTTTTATTGCAGCTGCAATCCAATCAGATAAGTCTGAGAACAGTGAAAAATCATGAGATTTTATCTTTAATCCATTAATATATAAATTATACTACAAGATTTTTCACTCTAGAACCATTTTTACAACCCTGAATTCACCCATAATCAACCATGACAAATGCACACACACCTGTATATATTTATCTAATCTACCTATATACTTTTATATGTATATGCATATATGCACATACACACAGAGAGAAAGAGACAGAGAATTTAAAAGTCATCTCCATGAATAAAATGGGCCTGTACTTTTCTTGTATCATACTTACCTAGTTTTAGTATAAAATATATTCCATTCTTATAAAATTAATTGGTTTGTTTTTCCTTGTTATATAAGTTAGGGATGTCTGTACTCACCAATAAAAGCATCTCAGCCTGTGACTTGTGGAGGTGGGAAAAATAGAAAAAGGTTTATCATCATGATGATTATATTCTTATTCTTACTGTTATATATTACATGATTATTTTCTATTCTATTTTTATATTGTATTTTTATCTATTTTATAATGTAAGTTTTTTATATTTTCCAGATATATATTTTCCAGAGAACCAAAAGGTTCTTTTGGGGGAATTTCATTTATTTGCATCTCTATTTCTTGGTTGGCATTGCCAATGATTTGTCTTTTGGCTTTGCCAAGGTTTTTTCAAAACTTCAATGTGGGTTCTGTTCATCTTTTTTAAATGATATCTCATTGTCTTGTTTCTCCTCTCCTTTGGCTTACTCTGCCAGTTTGTTACCAATCACAAGGGTTTTATTGCCCAATGCTGGGGTGCAGTGCAGCCAGGCCTGAATTTTTTTCAAAGCTTTATATGTGTTCTAAAGTGTGAGAGGGGATGACAACTACTGGTCTGTAATCATTCTCAAATCTATCTGATCCTAAGATTGCTTTTGAGGCTTTTGGAAAACATACTCCTGGACAACATAATGTAGTGATTATGAATCAGCTGATCTAGACTGAAGCCTAAGAGTGCATATTTTTAAAAAAGCTTGGCCGGTGTTTCTGACTACCAGCAAGATTGGAAAATCACTGAATTTGAGTGCTTATAAAGCACCGTATAGTGCCAAAAGCATAAGTGACCTCTGAGGTTGTAGTGATTTCTAAGGTAGAAGTTAAGAGATGTTTAGGTGGTTTGGGGGAATTCAGGGGATATTCAGCAATCCAGGAAGAGGAGAAAGTATTAGTAAAGAGCAAGAGCTGAAAGACAGGAAGGTCAGCTCCTAAAAATAAAAGAAGTCTTGTCAAGACATCAAAAGCAAGGAAGAGAGTAGCAAGAAGTAGAGTTGAAAATAGGCCACAGAAAAAGCCATATTACAAATGGATTTTACCCAAGAATTACAAGAAGCCATTGAAGGGGGTTAAGTTGGGAGATGACACAAATAGAGTTTTGCTTTAAAAAGGACTGGTTTAGCAACAGAAGAGGAAATTAAATGGAGAGAAAGCAGGACTGTCTTCCTTGAAGCCTGAAGACAGTCATCATCCTTGAGGTGGCCACTATAATCCAGGAGATAAATGACGGTGGCTTGAACTGTGATACAGCTGGAGAGAAAAAGACTACTAGGCATGACTAAAAGGTACAGATGTTACTGGATGTAAGGCATATATGAAAAGAAAGAGTAAACTTATCATCACCAGTTTATTGCTCATAATTATTCTCTGAGCTATATATTTTGGATTGAATATATCTACAACTGTTCAGACATTCTCTAAAATATTGAGGTAAAAGCATAAATGTTTACATTTTATACAAAATTATCACAATTTAAATAATATTGATAATAATATATAATAATATTATATCATCATCATAATATCTCATTTCCTTGTTTCTCTTCTCTTTTGGTTTATTATGCCACTTTATTACCAAATATTCAATTTGGTAACAAATTGAATTCAATTATACAAATATTCACTGTAAACAAATATTCAAACTCATAATAAGTAAAAATGATTAGACAGGTTAATTTCATAGTATATCACAATCCTTGTCATTTCAGCTTTGGTCTGCTCTAAACTTATCCATCTCTGTCCATTACTGGAACAACTCCGCAAAGTCCTTATTCCCTAAAACATCACTGATACCATTAAAGCCACTAACAGAGACTGAACTCAGAATAAAGGAAATCATAGAGAAACTAGATCAGCAGATCCCACCCAGACCTTTCACCCATGTGAACACCACCACCAGTGCCACACACAGCACAGCCACCATCCTCAACCCTCGAGATACATACTGCAGGGGAGACCAGCTGGACATCCTACTGGAGGTGAGGGACCACTTGGGACAGAGGAAGCAATATGGTGGGGATTTCCTGAGGGCCAGGATGTCCTCCCCAGCACTGACGGCAGGTGCTTCAGGAAAGGTGATGGACTTCAACAATGGCACCTACCTGGTCAGCTTCACTCTGTTCTGGGAGGGCCAGGTCTCCCTGTCTCTGCTGCTCATCCACCCCAGTGAAGGGGCGTCGGCTCTCTGGAGGGCAAGGAACCAAGGCTATGATAAAATTATTTTCAAAGGCAAATTTGTTAATGGCACCTCTCATGTCTTCACTGAATGTGGCCTGACCCTAAACTCAAATGCTGAACTCTGTGAATATCTGGATGACAGAGACCAAGAAGCCTTCTATTGTATGAAGCCTCAACACATGCCCTGTGAGGCTCTGACCTACATGACCACCCGGAATAGAGAGGTATCTTATCTTACAGACAAGGAAAACAGCCTTTTCCACAGGTGAGTATACTTTTCATGTATACTGAGAAGTGTCCCCTGAGAAGTGCCCCAGTCAGAGCTACATTGCCCATTGCAACATTGAGCATGACTCAGAGGCCTCCTGTACTCAAGGTAAGACATGTGGTGTCTTCTTGGGGCCTCTACTCACCACTCTAGGCCAAAGTTTGCATTTTCACTATATTGTCCCATTCAGTCATGTGTTTTGCTATAACCGTTCTTCTATGTGTTCACAGATGTTCCACTGAAAAAAAGATTCCTTGATAAGTGTATGATAACATCCATGCTCCTTCACCTCCCATATCATATTTTGTTAATTTTGCCCCTTAAATATCTTTGCGTTGATCCATTTCCCCCCACGCACAGTGCTGCTATTCAAGTTCAGACCATCATCATCTTATCTAGATTACCCATACCAGCTTCCCAACTGGTCTCTCTCCCAGCAGTCATACCCTCTCTAATCCATTCTCTACACTGAGTGATCTTTCTAAAAAGCCAATTCCTACTGGTTTTCTCCAGTTGATCCCATGATCAGATATTCCTCAGTATATACCTCTCAGGGTGGAGGAGTCCTTCTTACTCCTCATGTTGTGACCTAGTGATTCCTGCAAACCCCTGGTTCAACAGGCCTCCACAAACTGGGATGGAAGCATGTTTCCTCTATCAATCATGGCTGTGGCAATGCCATGCTTTTCTCCCCCGACTCACAGAGGCTCACTTCCTGGTTTCCCTGTTATCCACTAACCTGAAAACCACTTTGTTGATTAGAATGAAACATCAGGGTTCCTTCATGGGCTACTTTGAGGATTTGCAAAGGATAACTATCTGTTATCACAAATCCCAGAACTGTGAGCCAAGCCCTAAGACTTCTATCAGTTCCAGAGACTTTTGCTCATTTGCTAACTTTGCATAAGTCTCAGAGGCTCAGTCCATTTCCTTTTCTCTTTCAATTCTGCCAGTACCCTTTTATTTTCCCCCACGAAGATTTATTTTTCCTCAGCTTGGTGACAGAGTAGAATGCTAGGTTCACAGAAATCCCTTTCTAGCAGTTTTCAAAGTCAAGTTTAGAGTCTTTTTTCCATAAGCTTTCAAAAAAAATATGCTAAGAGTAGGCACCAAACATGACAAAATAACATGCATTCCAGAATCTTACCTCATTATCCAAGTTTTGGCTCCTGATCTATAGTCCCTGGCTCCCTTCTGAAAAGTAAAAGCACAGTTAAGTTTCTGTTCCCTCCCTTTTATCTCTGATGGTACATCTCATCAAATCTCTTCCTACCCATCAACCATCCTTATGCCTAAATCCTAGTAAGGATGAAAACATGCTGATCCTTTCTCTTCTCAGGATGGCACCTGGAGAGACATCTATAGCAGGAAATCAGGTACCACTTATATCTGTTATACTTGGCACCTGGGTCCTCATTCTCCCCTTAATCCCTTTCTTCCTTCCTCCACTTTCATGGCCATATACAGAGGTTTGAAACAAAGTGTGAGTAAGAGCTTTCAAGCAGGAAGAGTGATCTTTCATCAATTGGAGGAAAGAAATGTAAGGTACATTTATTAACACATCGGATTCAACACTACTTTCTGCCAGTCACTTTGATAGATATTAAGGATACAGCAGTGGACCAGACACACACATTACCTTCCTTCATAAAGCTTATGATCTTCAGAAAGCAAGTTTGTCAGAAAAGTCAAAGGTAATCATAGCAGGAAATGTGGATTAAAAATGAAGCAGAGGCCCTCTGATAAAAGGTCTACCTGCCACCCAAAAAGGCTGGATTCCTTGGGTACATGATGGGGAGACAATAAAGGGATGTAAGCAGTAGTGCAGTTGGATTTGCAATGAGAAAGGGTGCTCTGGCAGTCGTATTGAAAAATTTAGGTGGGATAAAACTGAGACTTGCATGACCAATTAGAGGCTCACAGTAATCCAAGGAAACTATTCTGCAAACTTGAATAGGAGATGTGGAAGCAGAAAGAGAGAAGAGAACTTGTAAATTAGATAAATATTTTGAATCTAAAATTCCAGGACACACTGATTACATGTGGCAGATCGGTAGAGCTGCTTTGGACTTCAGGTGCTCTCAGCAGGGTAGAAAGTCTTCCAAAATCCTCACTCATTTACAATACCCAATATATCTAAAATTTACAACAATAATAACAGCTTCCAGTTATAGAAAACTAAAAATTTTCCTTCACTCACAAGCAGATGATTCACCTGTGTTACATGGGCAGAGAGCAGGCTAATTTATTGTTCTATTTTTTTTTTGAAGGTCCAAAGTGGGAGTTGAAATGATGAAGGATCGTAAACACATTGATGTCACTAATTGTAACAGTAAGTTGGCTCTGTCCTGAGTTAGGTGATGCTCAGAGGAAACTTTTATCAGCATTAACCTAAATAATTGTAGTTCTCCTGGAGCACAATTCCTAGCAGATGTCTATGATGTCAATCATGCTGGACTTTAAAGGGAGAAATGAACTCAAGGAAATGATTTCAAAATGTTTATAGGAGATTACATCTTGATATATCCAAAAGGAGAAAGTATTAGTATCTACATTCGTGTTTAAACCTGAGAGTTCATCTCCTAGAGTCTTAGGCACTGTGCAAATGTCTTTGAAGGACGGATATCTACAGCTTCAGAATAGGAACACTTTCGGTTTTGGTTTCCTAACTCTCTGTTGGCATAACCCCCTAACATTTAGTTGATGCAATTACCAATTTTATATGGAGCTTTCATCTGATTATATGTTTTAAAGACAAACACAAAGCCCTGTTACTTATGAAAGAATATTTATACTACCTTAGCTTTAAAACAACTTTTTATAAAGTCTATCTTAGTTTACCGATAACATCCATCATGATACTTACTTCAACTCATAATAATTTATTGCCACCATTTATTCATTTATTCCACAAATGTTTATTTATTTATTTTTCCTCACATCATATGGGTAATGTGCTGATGTCATAACAAGGTTTGAGGGAGGCACATCTCACACATGAGCATGAAAACCCAATCATCATGATTCTGAACTACAAAAGGATCAGCAAACATTTACTGAGCACTGAATAGATATCAGGCATTATGGACAAATGGAGAAAAGTAAATGCTCAGTTAGCTTGCAATGTGAAAGACATTCAATCTACGAACTCTATGAAGACAGTAAAGAGGCAAAAGAGCTTATGTTAAAGTTGGTATTTGACTGAGTCCTGAAGGATACGTGTAGTCAGAGAATGAAGAAGAGAAACCTCATAAAGATCATGGGTAGTGTTGCTGGATTTAAGCAAATAATAATACAGGGAATCAAATGAATATGAGTAATTTCTAATTGCCTGTCATATATACATTGAGAAAAGGGGAAAATATTGCATGGACCATACTTACACTAAAAAATTATTCCTTGTTAGAAGTAATACAAATTTAATACGGTGTCCTGTATTTTTTATCTAACTCTTTTTACCTGATAATTCCCGTCATGAGCAAAGTCATCATGGACTTCTTCAATAGGCCAATGGGGTGAGCATATTGTGGAATGCAGCAGAGGATAAGCCTAGAAAGAGAGGAAGAACCTAATCATGAAGGTTCTCAAGTGTCATGCTGAGGATTTCAGTGATTATTCAGTAGACTTGAAAGCCACAGAAACCAACTGAGGAAGAGAGTGGTATGATCCACTTTGTGGTTTAAAATGCAAATTCACAATTTAACAAAAGCATGATCTGCAGAAAGGCAATTTAAAATGTCACTAAGGAATATAAAATAAAATTCATATAAATAGAAGGAAAAAATACTGTCTCTAGATGGGATGATTTTATATTTAAAAGAATGTCAGTTGTCTATGTATCATTTTCTTATTGCTGCTATAATAAAGTGGCTTTAAAAAACAAAAATATATCATCTTATAGTCTGTAGTCCAGATGTCCAATGCTGGTCTCATTGAGCTAATCCCAAGGTAGAGCAGGAGCATGTTCCTTCCTGGAGGCTCCAGGGGAGAATCTGTTCCTTTGCTTATTCCAGGTTTTTAAGGCTGCCCACATTCCTTGCAGCCCTCTTCCTCTATCTTCAAAGCCACAGCAGAGGGTCAAGTTTTCCTGTCACATCTTTGACCCACTCTTCTGCCTCCCTCTTCCACTTTTGAGGACCAATGACATTAGATTGGGCCTACCCATGTAATCCAGGATAGTCTCTCCATCTCAAAGGCCATACCCTGGTCATAACTGGAAAAGGCAACATTGTTGTGGGAATTAAGGGACAGGAGAGACCAATGGATGGAATAAGAGGATTTTATTTAGGTGGCTACCTGCCCAGTGGATTAACTTCCAAAGGCTGAGCCCCGAACAAAGACAGGGCTTGACTCTTATACATGTACCTGAAAGGGTATTGGCTAGCTTGAATATACACTTCACTAAATGGTGCAAAACCTACAGGGCGGGCAAGCAAGCTTACAGAAGCAGAACAAAGGCAGTTTATCAAACAGTGACAGGTTTTACAACTCAAGCCAGGTGTTGCAACTCAGGCATATGTTGTGACCTTCACTGTGCTGCACAGAAGGGAAAAACAGGCACTTACAAAACTTGCAAAGATAATTTTAAGAATAGTAAGGGGGGAAGGGGGAAGCTGAATGAGAAAAACTTGTTTTTCCCAACCTTGCTTTGGGATGGGAGGGAGAGACTCTGAAGCCCATCCCTTCTGGGACCCGGCTCTGCAGATAATGCTACCAAAGCCTCATCAGAGCCCTGCCCTTCCCTGGGTCTTAGAGTGGGTCAGCCTAGTACAGGAAAACTTGTTTTTCTTTTTATATCTTCTGCTTCAACATATTCACAGGTTTTAAGAATTAGGATGTGGATATCTTTGGGGGACTATTAGTCTCCCTATCTAATAAAAAATATAATGGAATCTATTTCTCAGTGGGCAGGTCTATGCAAACCTACTCCCAAAGTTTGAGGAAGCTGAGAGGCCAAAAAAGAGTCTGACACATCCAGTTTCTCGAAACATTTAGTAGGGACTTACAAGCAGAAGCCATGTTTATGTCTCCATTGTTGAGACAAGATGGTGGATCTCCACACCATTACCCCCAGATCTAGGGCTTACAGAGCATAAGGGAAGGGTGGTTCAGATGGGATGTACAGGACAATTGAAGTACAATACCACCAAGGCTGTTTGACCTACGGGCAAGATTTACCATAATTATCTGCTGTTATACAAGAAACACTAGATAAACCGGGGTTAATCAGGAGCCAACATAGCAGATTAGCATCTAAAATGGAGTTGCTTTTGCCTGATATACAGAATCCTGATATTATTACCCACATACTGTTCAAAATGCTCAAGCTTATTCTAAAACTATTAAGTAAAATAAACATGTAAGAGTAATCATAAGCAAATTTGTTATAAGTTTGAGACGTGGCAAAATGAATACCTGACACATAAAGATTACACAACATAGGGTTTACAACAATACACTTAAAGGCTATGTTCTCAGCAAAGTGTGCCAGTACATTATTAGGATAAAGAATACTTAATAACTATGAATCTCAAGTTTCCAGGGTCATGGTATTCAATCATCTAGGGTGCAATGCTATCAAGCCTCATAGAAACCCATCAATATCACACTGTAATTCCAACATAATTATAGGATTATACAAACTCCCTTTAGTAAGCCAAATCACCAGGACTTAAGAGCTATTCCAAGTGCACTTTCCAATTCTGCCACCAGCACCATTTTACCACTTTGTCCATAGGTTACAAATACAATACAACCATGTAATGATGCACTATTCTGTGGACATAGGCAGCCAGAGACTGCAAGGCCTCTGAGGAACTAAGCAAGGAGGGTAAAGCAGAAACTGCTGATGGTTCCCCAATACTCACTGCCTTCTCCTTCTTTAGTAATAGAAACCAGTTGTGGCTAGACCCATGGCTATCCTTTCTTATATCTAGTTGTGGCCATGACTAAGTTTTTTCCAGAAGTGCAAGTGGGAAACTTCTAGGTCATGCTTTAAAAGCAAAACAACTGGCCCTCCCTATCCATTTCTTCCCTTACTACTAGCCGAACTTTAGATATAATGTGAGAACAGCAAGAGCCAAGTTAGACCATGAGATTAAAGCCACACAGTAAGAATGTCATAGCCACAACATAGAAGGAACAAGAGTCCCTGACACCATGCAATGGCATATTAGCCCTGGCCTTCTCACTCCAGGCCTGTTATGTGAGACAGAAATAATCTTTTATTTTTAAGTCATTATTATCTTGGTCTTTCTTACAGCATTCAAACTGGTTTCCTATCTCATACAGAACGTAGTATCAGTATAGAAGTCCTGATATAACAAATCCTAAAATACAAGGCATTGGCTCAGTGATGGGATGGCAGCATAGAGAGTGGTAAGGAAACATGACAGGAGAAATTGGATGCCCTTTGTTATGCCATAACAAGACATTTGCTTCACTGCTACCTACCTGTAATAGAAGGCAGACCATGTGCAAACAGAGCCTGAAACTCTAGTGAAACTTCCTGGATTATCTCAGAATATTGGTTTGTATTGGATGTTGCATGTTGCTTTTAGCAAAGTCTGGTTTTACAAAAAATTGTCAAGCTAGGTGACTATTATACTATTTGAGGTTTTTATATTTAATGTACATATTTTAAGCCATTTTTTGAACACGGAAAAATTAAGATTATTCATTCCTTCATTAATGAAACAAAGGTAAAGAATTTTATACAGCGGCACCAACTGGCAGACCACTAACATCATTTGGGTAAGAGACAAAGACAGAAGTCACCACAGAGTCAGGAAAAAAGGATAGAACGTCAAAGAAAGGATAGAACGTCAAGATTTAGCTCATGACCAAATTTAGGAGGAAAGGAATTAGACAGAAGGCAAGATGACTCAAAATCTCTTAAAGGAATAAGCAGAAGTGCCTGAAGCAAAGCTAATGATCAAAGAATAGGACTAGAAAGGGACAGAAAAAGGAAATAGGCATTACAGGAAGGGGGAAAGAGAGCAAGAAAATGAAAGACCAGGAAAGAAGGCTAGATGTCTAAGTTTTGCCAATAAAATCATTTACGAGTGTCTTTGTTACCAGAGAGAGAAAAAATAGAAGAGACATGCCAAGTTGGAATGAAGCCTCCTGTCCCTGGTGGTTATACTTTACAAGGAAAATGGATAACAACATTTTGCAACCAGGTTCAGTTAGACACAATTAAGATAAATGGCTGTTTGAAAGGCAAACTCATTTACCTCCTGGGAGACTCTACACTACGTCAGTGGATCTACTACTTCCCCAAAGTTGTAAAAAGTAGGTAGTTACTTTATATTCTCTTAGAAATTCAGGCTGGTTTTAAAGTACTTTTAATGAGGTCTCTATTCTCTCGTTTGAGCTATTTTGTTTTTTACTTCATTTGGCTCTCTGGATTTGAACCTTTACATTTAAAATGTATTTTATTCCTTCTTTCATAAGAAATGTTGGTCTTCTTTTAAAATTCCAGTGAAAACTTTACATTTTTGATTGACATTTTACATGTATGAACTGGGGGTACTGTACCCTAGAGAGTAGAAAGGCTCCAGTGAGCAATTATCTAGGTAGGGTGGGTATTTTAAATGATAGGACATTCTTTTTCATGAATATTAACCATTATCTTCTATTTAAAACATCTATTTGTTTTTTTATCAGCACTGAAGTTTTTTGATCTTCATGAAACTGGAATCTTTAAGAAACATTTGCTTCTGGATGCAGAAAGACACACTCAGATTCAATGGAAAAAACATAGCTATCCCTTCGTCACTTTCCAGCTCTACTCTCTGATAGATCATGATTATATCCCTCGGGAAATTGACCGGCTATCAGGTGACAAAAACACAGCCATCGTCATCACCTTTGGCCAGCACTTTAGACCATTTCCCATTGACATTTTTATTCGCAGGGCCATCGGTGTTCAAAAGGCTATTGAAAGACTGTTCCTAAGAAGCCCAGCCACTAAAGTGATTATTAAGACAGAAAACATCAGGGAGATGCACATAGAGACAGAGAGGTTTGGAGACTTCCATGGTTATATTCACTATCTTATCATGAAGGATATTTTCAAAGACCTCAACGTGGGCATCATTGATGCCTGGGACATGACCATTGCATATGGCACTGACACTATCCACCCACCTGATCATGTGATTGGAAATCAGATTAACATGTTCTTAAACTACATTTGCTAAGGGATAAATACTATACAAAATCACTAGGAACCAATCTCTGCACATAATCCCACATGTATTGTAAAGTAAGTTTTACTCATTTTAGGAACTAAGGAAAATAAATTTAAAAGAATCTGTTTGGGGAGGAAGGCTATGTAAGGACAATGACAACTGATAAGGGATGCAAAACCAAGAGAATCATTCATGAAGAATGACTATACCATGCCTGGTTCTGATGCTCGTTTAAAATATTAAAAAAGTTTTTTAAAAGCCATGTTATTAAGCTGATTTGAAAATATCTGTACAAATTCATGATGCTTTCTATTTCCAATATAGATATTTCCTAGCTCTGTCTATTGAAAAGGCCTAGGAGCAATGATAACCCATTAGCAATAATCACTCCGAGCACCCTAACTGTGATGTCTAAGAACCCTTCCTCAATAAAAGAAAAGAGGCATCCTTGAAGGGAAGGCTGATTCCAGGACTGGAACAGAAAATATGTATACCATGAGCCTGGACATCTTGTTATGCCAGAAAGCAAATAATCAAAGACAAATGGAATCATATCATGGAACAGAGGAGGTAACCCAAAGGAGTCTCTTCATTGGCCATAGATAGATTAGTTTTAGCATCAAAAAGACTAATGACTGCAGTTAATTGAAATACATAATATATAAAATCCATGAGGTCATAGCAATACAAAAAGAGACATGCAAGAATAAAAGCAAAATCTCTCATGTGTCGTAAGTGGAGTTGGGTAAACCCTTATTTTGAAAATTGGCAACAAAAGGGAAATATATGAACATTTATCCTCTTTCCTGTTAAAGAGAAAATCAATAACCCTAATAGATAAAGGAAATTTCTTCTTTTTGGAAGAATTACAGCTAATGAATACAGAAAGAACGACAGAATTAGGAAAGCACCATTTAAAAACTTCTACTCAAATAAGTAAATAAGGCAGAGATCATCAGTGAATGAACTTTTTTAAAAGGTTTGATTGGAACTTTACTATGGATATAGCAGGCTGTCACTTCTGAATCCACTGCTCAAACTTAGCTTTATTAATTTTAAAGCTTTGTAACAGCAGGACAACTGGTCATTATGTCCTACATGATTTGATGCAATGTAAAGTATACAACACCACCTATGAAGGAGCGAGATCTGTAAGAAAGATGCTCAATTTGGAAGTCATCATTATATATAGGTGCCTGCTAAAAATGAGGAGATGGTAATATTTTCACACACAAAGGGAACTCTCATACACTCTTGGTGGGAATGTAAGTTGGTACAGCCATTATGGAAAACAGTATGGCAGTTCCCCTAAAAACAGAACTACCATATGACCCAGCAATCCCTCTGCTGAGTATCCCAAAGGAAATGAAATCAGCACTTCATAGAGATATCTGCATTCTCATGCTCACTGCAGCATTATTCACAATAGCCAAGACAGAGAAACAACATAAGTGCCCATCAATAGATGAACAGATAAATAATTTGCAGTATATATGTACAATGGAATATCATTCAGCCTTACAAAAGGAGATGCTGCTATATTTGCAATAACATGGGTGAACCTGGAGGACGTTACGCTAAGTAAAATAACAATATTGAAGGAAAGAAATAATACTGAAAGAAAAATATTGCTTGATCTCACTTATATATGGAACTTAAAAACTACACATAGAAACAGGGTAGAATGGTAGTTATCCAGGCTGGGAGGAAGAGAAAACAGGGAGGTGTAGGTCAAAGGGTACAAACTTGCAGTTCTATTGGATGAATGTCTAGAGAGCTAATGTACAGCATGAGAACTATAGTTAATATTGTATATGGAAAATTTGCTGAGAGACTAGATTTTAGGTATTCTACCTCAATTAAAAAGGTAATTGTGGCCAGGCACGGTGGCTTACGCCTGTAATGCCAGCACTTTGGGAGGCCTAAGCGGGAGGATCACGAGGTCAGGAGATCGAGACCACAGTGAAACCCCGTCTTTACTAAAAATACAAAAAAAAATTAGCGGGCAAGCTCGCCGAGATGGCACCACTGCACTCCAGACTGGGCTACAGAGCGAGACTCTGTCTCAAAAAACAAACAAACAAACAAAAGGTAATTGTGCAGTGAGGAATATGTTAATATACTGACTACAGTAATCATTTCACTATGCATATGTATATCAAAACATCACACTGTATACCTTAAATGTATGCAATAAAAAATAAAAGATACATACACAAAATTCTTTAAATGTCCCACACACAAGACAAATACGTGTTCAAATACATCAGTCTCTGAAGCCTCTGCACCACTCTACACGCTGCTCCTTCTGACTAGAATGCCCTCCTGCCCCTCCTTCCACCTGTCAAACTCCCAATCACCCTTTAAAACCAGATTGAATTATTTTCTTCTGTGAAGCTTTCCCTGACACCCCGGGAAAGAATAATGTTTCCACAGTGTTTTGTCATTTACTCCATAAAAGAAACAAAAACATGTATTTTTAAAAGTATCTGTTATCTCTAATAGCTTGTAAACATCTTGAGGAAAGAGACTAAGTTTTGCTTCTTTTTCCCCCAAAGAGAACTTTATTAAAACATTTACCATCTCTTTAGAGAGAGGTTTTACCATCTCTTTAGAAAGCTCCAGAATCTACAACCAGGAATAAGTGTTAATGGGATAGAACCAATGAGAGAACAGCATATGATAGTGAAATGTACTTTATTATTAATACGAATTCAGTGGGCTCACAGAATGAACCTTTTTGCCAAACGGGGGGAAAGCATTTTCTGTAAAGTATCTTTAGAAAAATATGTATAATTTGAAAAATGGTTATCCAAATTTAACATTTGTCATATAAAAGGCTCATAAAACGTGTGTGGCTGTGTTTCTCAAAATTGTGGGGTCAATTGGTCACATTATGCCTAGACATTCTGGTTTTGTTCTTGGGGTTAATAATGGTTGTGGTCTTATAAGAAAAGGAAATCTGGAAATCTTGTCCCTGTTATTAATACACCTGTCATTACTAATAAAAGTGGTTTGTTGATATGCTAAATAGGTTGAAAAAGCTGTCACTTTGCATGAAATTAACTAGGGAATACTTCTTTATAGCATGAATATGTAAATGTTCAAAATTTCACAGTAAACTCAAGAAATTAATTTCTAGTTCTCTCACCTTGTATCCAATATAAGTGCAAATTAACTTACATTTAACCTTCCTGGGCTGAGGTAAGTAAATTTGCAAACACAGAGTTAAAAGCTTCCTTTTTATTCCCCAAAAACATTTCTGTTAATTCACAGCCCTTCCCTGGATGAGTCAAGATTTTTGACACTCTTGAGGTGTCACCACAGAGCAAAGGATACCTCAGAGCAAAGTGATGGTCTGCCCATTTCTCAATTCCCCCTTCTATCTATTCAGTTTCCAACAATTAAGATTTCAATTTCCAAATATATCCAAAAGATCTTCAGACATCCAGACAAGAACCCCATTCACAAAAACAAGGTGCTCTTACATACAGTAAAAACATTCCCTTTTTGTCAAGGTTTATTTTTCCAGTCTTCACCTGAGGCTGGTAGCTGGCAGCATCTTCTTTAAAGATAGGATTTTCCTTCATTGAAATATTCCATGTGGCCCTTTGGCTATCTAGGCATGTTTTACAGCCTAAAGGTGTAACACTTAGAGCACAGAGCAATGGCTGTGGGGCTGAATGTGCTGAGCTAATCCTAAAGTTTTCTGTACCTCTCAGCAGATCTCGGAGAGGCAAGGCAGATGTTGCTGAGCACAGTGATTCCCGCCACTGTTTCTGGTCTCAAAGCCTGAATCGTGTTAATTGCAGCTCTTGGTAAGGAAAAAGGAGTGCTGGTGTGAAGATAAGCACCAAATAGCAGAGAGCCACATTCAACCCAAAATTTATACCCAGAGGGTGGGAACACTTAAGTCCCATCATCGCATACTACAGAGCCTGCTCCAACCTCACAGGAAGCCAAGACATCCAGGCACCTACGCACCTTGTGAACCTGTTCCCAGCATTCCTAAGGGTCACTTTGTAATCCATGGCATGTGCCTCCCCCTGGTACTTGTGTGGCTATAACAAAGAGGAGGACTAGCAGATGCAAAGCTGTGGGAGCAGAGCCACCAGGGGTGCAGCTGGGACCTCCATCAGGGCATGGTTTATGAAGGCCCCTAAATGGTCTGTGTGCCACCTTGATGTCAGTTTCCCACCAAGCCTCCTTCTCCCCTTACTTCCTGACCCCCAACCTCTGGTTTCTCTATTCTCTTCCAACTCACCAGAGTGGAGGAAGCATCCTTCATGGAGATGCACAGCTGTGATCCCAGCTCCATGATTGGAACCATTTTATTCATCTTTAGTCCTTAGCACTGGGCCCAGCACATAGTAGCAAGCAATAAATATTTGTCAAATAAGTGATGCTGTATCTCTGTGTATCTAGAACATGACATAAAACAGAAAATAAATGGTAGTGTACATAAAAAAGGGACACAGCACATTTCAGAAATTAATCAAAAATAAATCTTCTGTGAACTGAGAGAAGGAAGAATCAAAATAAAACAGAGTAGCACCATGATCATCTATGAACAAGGGACCAAAATGCTGTGTTTATAGTGAGAATAATCATGGAACTTCTTTCCACCTCCTGATTTCTGGGTAAGGGAGGAGGGATGTGGAGCTGACATTATTGTGTAGGGAAGGGACAAATAATCTAAGAAGCAGGAAACCTAGGTCTTCCAAAAAATTTACATACAGCCACTAATTGCCTTGTCTTCAAGTTCCCTCCTTTTTGATTATGCTAATGATATATACTGAGAACCTGAAAGATCCCAACAGAGAAGACATTGAAGCAGCTGTAAGGAAGAACAAGGTTCTGGTCTGAGAATCATTTATTCAATAAACATGGATTTACTCATCAACTATTATATGGTAGGCCTTGAGATGAGGACACAGCGCTGAACAGGACAGGTGTGGTCCCTGTCCTCATTAACGATGATATAGAGAGAATACCAGTAAGTATCAGGCTATTGCAATACTGCATGATGCCCACTATGGAAGGGTGCCAGGGTGAACACATGGGCCACCCACCCCAGGGATGGGGGCTTGGGGAAAGCGTCCCAGAGGAAGTGATATCTAAGCCAAAACTAGAAGAAGAAGTAGGGCTCAGAGAGGCAGAAGAGAAGGGACAGAGAAAGTAACCCAGAGGAAAAAGGTGGGAAAGCATTCCAGAAGGAACAGCATGTACAAAAGGGACCATCTTTTCATGTGGCTTTGTGTCCGTTCCTCTCCTTGCGTGTGCTCTTATTTTCAGATAAGATGATTTGTAAAATAATGTGGCACTTCTGTTAAGGCTCATTATATAGATCATTTTTACAACTATCTGAATTCCAAAAAAGTTTTTCAATAATAATAATAATAATAAGGCTTGCTTTCTCCACTTATGCAATAAAATCTATCTCAGAATTCAATCTATCCCAGGTCAGACCAAGAGCATAGTATTAAATTATCTGGTGATGAATTATGGACATGTAGGTTTTTATTAATTGGGAAAGATTTGATACTCCATCACTGTATCTATAATTTTGTAATCTGAGAGACCAAGGTAAGCAAGACGGATAGAGTTAAATCTGTTTTCTCTTAACTTGAGACTCCTACTAAATTTTGAATTGCTCTTGATTAGGCTCTTGAGTGTCCTACCCTTGCCTGAATGTCCCTACTACACCTAGTATAAGACAGATCTGGTCCAGGAGCTTTTGTGTGCTCCTCAGTCTCTCCACCAACCCTAGGATTGCATTCAAGTAAAATTAACAGCAACAGCACACCCCCACCCCAAACACAACTGGTAGCAGAAATGTTAGATCACAGGCTTAGCAACAGACTGTCTGCATTTGAATTTTGACTCTGGTAGTTATTAATTGTGTGGCTATAGGCAAACTACTTAACATCTTCTTGCTTAATTGCCTAATCTGTAAAAGGAACATAAGATAGGACTAACCTCATAGCATCTATTGTTTGCCTCATATTCACTGAATGATCAGGTATCTGGCTAAATCTTCATCTTTTCCCAAAACCCTTCCATTAGGTCCCCTCTAAATCAATTCAAAATTGAAGCTTTATGGTGATTTTTCTTTTGAAATACCAGTACCTGCAAATCTAATGTGTTTTGACAACCCACTTTGAGGGCCACACCTTGAACCCTGTTATCACCTGAATTGCTCTACTTCAGAAAGACTGCCCTTTCATACTTACTTTCTAACCACAGCCTCTTACTCTTCTTTATTTCCTATAAGCTCATTCTCATTGCACCTCCCAGAAACTCTGAATTCAGTCACAGATTCAGTAAACAAAAATAGATCGAATGCTAGGCACTGTTTCCTTGTTTCTTCCCTTTTCTTTCATCTTATCAGATCCCTTCTGGTTCCAATTTCCTTTTCTTCCCAACCAGGGCCCTACAGTTAATTATTTGAACTATTTTCTCTGCTACACCCTCAAATTCTCTGAACACATGTTTTTCTGTTTGAAGTCTCAGTTTCCTCTCAGTTTCCTCAAAGGAAAGCATATATTAATTCTTAATTTGTTTCTTGGATAGTTTCATCTTTCTGAAGGTTAAAGAAGTAATAAGCAAAATTGTTTCTCTAGATCTTGTACATTACTGGAGGTTACAAGTTAATTTGTATTCTCACCTCATACCACATATCAAATAGATCCCAGGTTACTTATAGATTCAACTTTTTTAAAAATCCAACTATTACAACAAACTCAGGGGATATAGTTCTCATAAGCTCTTCTTTAAAAAAAAATAAAAGACTAGCTTCAGCTAAACAAGAGATAAATGATAAAGACTCTTAGAAACAGAATAATGACAAGTACTGAATCCACTTAATTATAGTACTAACCAAAGAACAAAATAAAACAAAACTATGGATATTATAAAGGGAAAACAATGTAAATATTATATACTATGACAATACAGAAATGTTGCAAATAAAAAAAGTTGGTGAAGGACAGGTGAAGATACTTCCTTAACATTTTTAGCCTCATTTTAAAAGATATTACTTAATATATTAACAAGATACATATAAATATATAGTTTATTAAAACTTGCTTTTAAGAAAATAGATGTGAACACAAAGATAAATAAGCAAAAAATACAGTCATAGAGAGGAAAAAGTTGGAGCAAGGAAGTATAAATATTTTAGTCGCTGTTTATGCTAGGGAGTCAATAAACACTGCTGAATAAAGAAAAGATGAAGTATTTTATGTAAATATATATATAAATTTGTGTGTTATGTAAAGAAAATCACAGCTGGACATGGTGGTTCAGGCCTCTAATCCCTGTACTTTGGGAGACTGAGGTGGGAGGATCACTTCAGCCCAGGAGTTTGAGACCAGCCTGGGCAACATAGTGAGACCTCATTCCTACAAAATATCAAAAAATTAGCTGGGTGTGGTGGTGCATGCTGATGGTCCCAGCTACCTGGGAGGCTAAGGCAGGAGGTCACTTGAGCCCAGGAGATGGAGGCTGCAGTGAGACATGATTGTGTCACTGCACTCCAGCCTGGGCAATAGAGTGGTCCTGTCTCAAAAAAGAAAGAAAGAAAGATAATCACTAGAACAAAAACACAAACCTTTCTATTTTTCAGAACAGGGCATGCTTTTAAGCTTCCATTTCCAGGATGCAAATACAAGATTATACTTTCAATACTGTAATAGCAAAAGATTAAGAAAACCTATACGTCCAGCAATGAGAGACTGCTTAAATAATCCATACAGTAGAATGCTGTGCATCCATCTTAATGGATGACTGAGAGAGTTCAGTATGTAGTGAAATGAAAAGACATTCAAAATACATCATTACATAAAAAAGCAAGGCACAGAACAATGCATTTTATGTAAAAAAGAAAACATATGTTATATATGCATGTACACATACATATGTACACATAGACTCTAGAAAGGTATTTATAAGGAGGATAAGAGTGATTAATTTGGGAAGTAAAACTATGTGGCAAGAGACAGGAATGAAAGAGAAATTTATTTCCACACTTCATTCTTTTGTGTCTTTTGAGTTTTGTACCATGTTCACATGATACCGATTCAAAATTTAATGAATTTTTACAAAAAGTCTTTGCATTTCACTGTTGAAAGTGTTAATTTTTTCATTATGATTTTTCCTTTCATTCTGTTAAGACTCAGAAGTGCTGTAATATTTCTTAATAATTACTTCTTTCAATTTGCTATTGTAACCATTTTTTAATCAAACAATTTTTTCTTAGCCATATATTTTTAGGTTCAATGGGTTTTTTAAATGGGTTTTTAACATCCTATGGAATAAGCGGTTAAAGTACAAATGGAACAACTGACTCATGTGATTTACTCAAAACTTTCAGCATTTTAATTATGGCCAATTTTTAGATTGAACACTTCAGTAGTTATATATGAATAAAGATATAAATGCATTATTAAGGTTAATGAAATAAGGACAGGTTCAGCTTCATACACATAATAGGTCACATTCTTTGCCATTTCAGTTTTGGTGAGGACAAGAGATGCCTATCTTTCTTCATCACAGGGATACCTTCCTAATATTCTCTCCTACCATGAAGCACCACTGTGTCCAGAAGTTTCAGCAGCAGAGACTAAGCTAAGAATAAAGGAAATCATGGAGAAACTAGACCAGCTGATCCCACCCAGACCTTTCACCCACATGAACACAACCACCAGTGCTGCACACAGCACAGCCACCATCCTCAACCCTCGAGACACGCACTACAGGAGGCACCAGCTGGACATCCTGCTGGAGGTGAGAGACCACTTGGGACATAGGAAGCAATATGGCAGGGATTTCCTGAGGGCCAGGATGTCCTCTCCAGCCCTGATGGCAGGTGCTTCAGGAAAGGTGATCAACTTCAACAATGGCACCTAACTGGTCAGATTCACTTTGTTCTGGGGGGGGTCAGATACCCCTGTCTCTGCTGCTCACCCACCCCAGTGAAGGAGCATTGACTCTCTGGAGGGCGAGACACCAACACTGTGACAGGATCATCTTCAAGGGCCAGTTTTCCAGCGGCACCTCTCAGGTCAATACTGATTGCGCTCTGGTTTCAAACTCAAGTGCTGAATTGTGCCAGTACCTGCATACCCAAGAAGCCTTCTACTGCTTGAGGCCTCAACGTGTTCCCTGAGAGGCCCTGGCCCATGTGACTACCAGAGACACAGCACAGAAGGGCAGAGCCTTTCACACAAGATTAAACAATCCTTCCAACACAACGTTCAAGTAAACAGGATGTTTTCCTATTAACAACTGCCCCAATCACTTTAATTAACAGTGAACATGGCAATCTTTGTGTCCAAATACATATTGGGTCACAGCCTTGTTCTCCCGAAGGCCACAGTCCTATCAGGTGACCTTCCCCACACAGCTGCTCTCTTTAGTCCTTTAAGCCTGAGGATGGATGGCTCCCGACTGTCGCGAGCCCCAGAGTGCAGCATCACCTCTTGTTGGTGTCCTTCAACTCCACCCTTTATTAAACTTACGTGGCTGCCAAGTTTGACACTAACATCCATTTCCTGCTGGACCCTGACTGACCCAGAGGAAGCTTCATGTGACATGTACTGAAAGAGTTCACAAAACTGACAGAAGACAACATGGCTGGGAATTAGACAGGGGGAAAGTGACAAAAGATGAAGCAGGAAGGTGTCCAGGGCCAGCTGGATCATGGAAAATCTATTAAAGGAGTTTGGAATTTATTTCAAGTAAAACAGGAAGCTATCCAAGCATCCCATTCGAAACATTTTTCTTTTTTCTTATTAACTTGTATTTTATTGAACTTATACATACACAGTATCCAAAACATCAAATTGAGCTAACTATAGCATCAACTATACCAAAAAAATCCCGGCACTTTCTACCATGCTCTCCCCTCCCCCAGATGGAACCACTTTGAATTATTTTAACTGTTTTAAACTATGATATAAGTTTGTTTTGCATTGCTACAAAGGAATACCCAAGAGTGGGTAATTTGTAAAGGAAAGAGGTTCAATTGGCTCATGGTCTCACAGGCTGTATAAACATGGCACCAGCATCTGCTTCTGATGAGGCCTCAGGAAACTTCCACTCATGGAAAGCAAAGGAGGACCCAGCATGTCACATGGCAGGAGAGAGAGCAGGAGAGAGATGAGGTGCCAGGCTCCCTTAAACAACCTGCTCTCACCTAAACTCAGTACCACTCAAAGCCACAGGGAGGGCACCACGCCATTCGTGAGGGATCAGCCCCCATGAGCCAAACACCTTTCACCAGGCCCCACCTCCAACATTGGGGATCACATTTCAACATGAGATTTGGAGGGGATAAATATCCAAACCATACCAACTATTTACCACCACACTTTCTAAATATCATGCTTATGTATCTTGTTCAGCTACATGAATCTCAGTTTTCTGAACAAATGATGAGTTGATATTTTTTAGGTGAAAGAGGCCCAGAGGCAATCCAGGGCTGAGACAGCAGCTAGCTCCCCATTACGCCATCAAGGACCTCTCTGAGACCCCTCTTTCTGCTCAGCCTCCTTGACATGTGACTTTCTTTCTCATGCTTATGGCCTCGGAGTCTCAAGAGAGATGTGCTCCCTCTGGCTATGCAACTGTGTTCCAGGCAAGAAGACGAAGGGCAAAGAGTGAGAGGCGAAGTCACGTTCCAGGCACATCTGCCCACTTCTAACAAGGCTTCCGGGAAGCCCCACCCAGTGACTTCTGATCATGCAGCACTGGCCAGAATGTGTAACACAACCATTCTTAGTGGCAGTAAAAGCAGGAAAATTCATATATTTTTTCCAGTAAGCATATTGCCACCCTACATTGTTAGTAGGAAGGATTCTGAGTAGGTCGCCAACAATGTTTACAACACTGTTATTTCTTGGTTTATCCATCTTGGTATTTTCTATTAATTTCCTAGGTTGGTAGTAGAAGATTTCATTCTCTTCACACAGTTCATTTTCCTTTACTACATTTTCTCATTATAATTATGTACAGTTTTTAAATCAAGTTAGTGTTTGCATTACTAATTAAATTTTAATATCTGTTGAGCCAAGTAGTACACCTTCCTTTCTCTGCCCAAAAAATGTATAAATTTTTTGTTTTACTAAAATTAATAATTGTCTTTATTTGCTTGGTTTTCTGTGTATTTATCTTTAATTTGTTGACATCCTCTATCATATCTGCCAAATTTCTCCAAATTTTATTTTCCAAAATACCAGCACTATCAGACAATGTGCCAAGTCTCTCTTCATGCCTGCAGAAATCTTTCCCAGAATCCTTTATTCATGTATTCCTGTTGGCAATGATTGCTTTCTAACCATGGATCAGCTATCAACATGGGACTCCTTCACCACTACCCTAGGAAACATCTATTGTTTTCACTGCCCACTTGGCCCAAGCATATCTTCTAAAAACTTTCTAAGAAAGGGAAGAAAGGCTGGGTGTGGTGGCTTACACCTGTAATCCTAGCATTTGGGAGCCTAAGGCAGGAGAATCACTTTGAGACCAGCTTGGGCAACAAAGGGAGACCCATCTCTATGAAAAAAAATTAAAAATTAGCTGGGCATGGTGGTGTGCACCTGTAGTCCCAGCTACTTGGGAAGCTAAAGTGGGAGGATCACATAAGCCTAGGAGTTCGAGGCTGCAGTGAGCTATGACTATGATCACACCACTGCACTCCAGCCTAGGTGACAGAGCAAGACCCTGTCTCAAATAAATACATAAAATGGAAAAGAAAATTTTATTTTTACTTCTTGCATATCTAAAAATGTATTCATTCTATCTTTACATTTGTTGGATTATTTGGATGGGTTTAGAATTTTAGATTTATAATAATTTTCCACCAGAACTTTAAAGTCTATTACTTGCTGGTTTTTTGTAACTACAGAGTTCAGTGCCATTATAATTCATAATACATGCTATGTTATCTGTTTTTCTCTCTTCTTTCTTCTTAAAATCATCCCTTTATAATGGTGTTATAACATGACTTTGGGTAGGTAGGATTAGGGACTCTTACTCTTTTTTAACTTTCATTTTAAGTTCGGGGTACATGTGCAGGTTTGTTACATAGGTAAGCTTGTGTCATGGGAGTTTGTTGTACAGATTATTTAATCATCCAGGTATTAAACCTAGTACCCAATAGTTATTTTTACTCATCCTCTTTCCCTCCTCCCACCCTCCACCCTCCAACAGGCCCCTGTGTGTGTTGTCCCCCTCTATGTGTCCATGTGTCTTCGTCATTTAGCTTCCACTTATAAGTGAGAACATGTGGTATCTGGTTTTCTGTTTCTGTGTTAGTTTGCTAAGGATAATGGCCTCCAGCTCTATCCAAGTCCCTGCAAAAGACATGATCTCATTTTTTTTATGGCTGCACAGTATTCCCTGGTGTATATGTACCACATTTTATTTAGCCAGTCTATCACTGATGGGCATTTGGGTTGATTCCATGTCTTTGCTATTGTGAGTAGTGTCACAACGAGCATATGCATGCATGTGTCTTTATAACAGAATGATTTATATTCCTTTGGGTATACACCCAGTAATGGCACTGCTGGGTCGATTGGTATTTCTATGTTTAGGTCTTTAAGGAATTGTCACACTGTCTTCCACAATGGCTGAACTAATTTACACTCCCACTAACAGTGTAAAAGCATTCCTTTTTCTCCACAATCTTGCTGGCATCTGTTGTTGTTTTTTATTTGTTTGTTTGTTTTGACTTTTTGTAATAGCCATTCTGACTGGGGTGAGATGGTATCTCATTGTGGTTTTGATTTGCATTTCTCTAATAAGTAGTGATGTTGAGCTTTGTTTTCATGTTTGTTGGCCACATGTGTGTCTTCTTTTGAAAAGTGTCTCTTCATGTCCTTTGCTCACTTTTTAATGGGGTTGATTTTTTCTTGTAATTTGTTTAAGTTCCTTATAAATGCTGGATATTAAACCTTTGTCAGACGCATCGTTTGCAAAAATTTTCTCTCATTCTGTAGGTTGTCTGCTTACTGTGTTGATAGGGTTTGTTTCTGTTTTTGTTTTTTGCTGTGCTATTTAGTTTAGTTAGATCCCATTTGTCAATTTTGCTTTTGTTGCAATTGCTTTTGGAATCTTCATCATGAAATCTTTGCCTGTGCCTATGTTGTGAATGGTATTGCCTAGACTTTCTTCTAATGTTTTTATAGTTTGGGGTTTTACATTTAAAGATGGTTTTTAATCCATCTTGAGACAATTTTCGTATAAGGTGTAAGGAAGGAGTCCAGTTTCAATCTTCTGCATATGGCTAGCCAGCTACCCCAGCACCATTTATTGAATAGGGAATCCTTTCTCCATTACTTGTTTCTGTCAGACTTGTCAAAGATCAGATGGTTGTAGGTATGCGGTCTTATTTCTGAGTTCTCTATTCTGTGGCATTGGTCTCTGTGTATGTTCTTATACCAATACCTTGCTGTTTTGGTTACTGTAGCCCTGTAGTATAGTTTGCAGTCAGGTAGCATGATGCCTCCAGTTTGTTCTTTTTGCTTAGGATTGCCTTGGCTATTCAGGCTCACTTTTGGTTTCATACAAATTTTAAAATAGTTTTTTCTAGTTCTGTGAAGAATCTCAATGGTAGTTGAATAGGAATAGTATTGAATCTATAAATTGCTTTGGGCAGTATGGCCATTTAACAATATTGACTCTTCCTATACATGAGCATGAAATGTTTTCCCATTTGTTTGTGTCAGCTCTGATTTCTTTGAGCAGTGTTTTGTAGTTCTCCTTATAGAGATCTTTCACCTCCCTAGTTAGGTGTATTCGTAGGTATTTTATTCTTTTTGTGGCAGTTGTGAATAGGAGTTTGTACCTGTTTTGGCTCTTGGCTTGACTGTTGTTGCTGTGTAGGAATGCTAGTGATTTTTTGCACATTGATTTTGTAACCTGAGACTTTGCTGAAGTTCTTTTAACAGCTTAAGAAGCTTTTGGGCTGAGGCTATGGGGTTTTCTAGATATAGCATCATATTGTCTGCAAACAGGGATAGTATGACTTCCTCCCTTTCTATTTGGATGCCTTTATTTATTTCTCTTGCCTGATTGCCCTGGCCAGGACTTCCAATACTATGTTGAATAGGAGTGGCGAGAGAGGGCATCCTTGTCTTGTGTTGGTTTTCAAGGGGAATGCTTCCAGCTTTTGCCCATTCAGTATGATGTTGGCTATGGGTTTGTCATATATGGCTCTTATTTTGAGGTATGTTCCTTCAATATCTAGTTTGCTGAGAGTTTTTAACATGAATGGATGTTGAATTTTACAAAAAGCCTTTTCCATATTTATTGAGATAATCATGTGGTTTTTGTCTTTATCTCTTTTATGTGATGAATCAATCACATTTATTGATTTGTGTATGTTGAACTAACCTTGCATCCCAGGGATAAAGCCTACTTAATCATGGTGGATAAGCTTTTTGATGTGCTGCTGTATTTGATTTGCAAGTATTTTGTTCAAGATTTTTGCATCGATGTTCATCAAGAATATCAGCCTGAAGTCTTATTTTTTTATTGTTGTTGTCTCTCTACCAGGTTTTGGTATCAGTATGAAGCTGGCCTCATAGAATGAGGGAGGAGTCCCTCCTCCTCAATTTGTTGGAGTAGTTTCAGTAGGAATGGTACCAGCTCTTGTTTGTACATCTGGTAGAATTCACCGATGAATCTGTCTGCTCCTGAGCTGCTTTTTTTTTTTTTTTTTTGGTTGGTTGGCAGGCTATTATCACTGCCTCAATTTCAGAGCTTGTTACTGGTCTGTTCAGGGATTCAATTTTTTCCTGGTTCAGTCTTGGGAGTGTGTATGTGTCCAGGAATTTATCCATTTCTTTTAGATTTTCTAGTTTATGTACATAGAGGTGTTTATAATATTCTGTGGTCATCGTTTGTATTTCTTATGGGTCAGTGGTAATATTCCCCTTGTCATTTCTGATTGTGTTTATTTGAATCTTTTCTTTTTTCTTAGTCTAGCTAGTGGTCTATTTTATTAATTTTTTCAAAAAACCAGCTCCTGGATTTGTTGATCTTTTGCAGGGTTTTTTTGTGTCTCAATCTCCTTCAGTTCAGCTCTGATTTTGGTTATTTCTTGCCTTCTGCTAGCTTTGGGATTTGTTTGCTTCTGGTTCTCTAATTCTTTTAGTTGTGATGTTAGGTTGTTAATTTGAGACCTATCTAACTTTTTGATATGGGTGTTTAGTGTTATTAATTTCCCTCTTGACACTGCCTTAGCTGTGTCCCAGAGATTCTGGTATGTGATATCTTTGTCCTCATTAGTTTCAAAGAACTTCTTGATTTCTGCCTTAATTTCATTATTTACCCAAAAGCCATTCAGTAGCAGGTTATTCAATTTCCATGTAATTGTATAGTTGTGGGTGAATTTCTTAGTCTTGATTTCTAATTTGATTGTGATGTGGTCCAAGAGTCTGTCTTTCATGATTTCAGTTCTTTTGCATTTGCTGAGGAGTGTTTTACTTCCAATTATGTGATCGATTTAAAAGTATGTGCCATGTGGCAATGAAAATAATATATATTCTGTTGTTTCTGGGTGGAGAGTTACATAAATATCTATCAGGTCTATTTGATCCAGTGCTGAGTTCAGTTCCTGAATACCTTTGTTAATTTTCTGTCTTAATGATCTGTCTAATACTGTCAGTGGGGCATTAAAGTCTCTGACAGTTATTGCATGAGAGTCTAAGTCTCTTTGAAGGTCTCTAAAAACTTGCTTTATGAATCTGGGTGCTCCTGTGTTGGGTGTATATGTATTTAAGTTGGCTAGATCTTCTTGTTGAATTGAACTCTTTACCATTTGAACTTTTTAACTTCTTTTTTTTTTTTTTTTTTAATATTTCTTGGTTTAAAGTCTGTTTTGTTAGAAACTAGGACTGCAACCCCTGCTTTTTTTCTGTTTTCCATTTGCTTGGTAGATTTTTCTCCATTTCTTTATTTTGAGCCTATGTGTGTCATTGCATGTGAGATGGATCTCTTGAAGACAGCATACCAATAAATCTTTGTTCTTTACCCAGCTTGCCATTTTGTGTCTTTTAAATGGGGCATTTAGCCCATTTACATTCAAGGTTATTATTGGTATATGGGGATGTAATTCTGTCATCATGATGTTGGCTGGTTATTTCACAGACTTGTTTATATGGTAGCTTTATAGTGTCACTGCTCTGTGTACTTCAGTGTGTTTTTTAGTGGCTGGTAACAGTCTTTCCTTTCCATATTGCTTCCTTCAGGAGCTCTTGTAAGGCAGATCTGGTGGTAAGAAATTCCCTCAGCATTTGCTTGTCTGAAAAGGATCTCATTTCTCCTTTACTTATGAAGCTTAGTTTGGCTAGATATGAAATTCTAGGTTGGAATTTCTTTTCTTTAAGAAATTTTGAATATTGACCCTCAATCTCCTCTGGCTTGTAGGGTTTCAGCTGAGAGGTCTGCTGTTCATCTGATGGGCTTCCCTTTGTATATGACCTGGCCTTTCTCTCTGGCTGCCTTTAACATTTTTTCTGTCATTTTGACCTTGGAGAATCTGATGATCATATGTCTTGGGGATAATCTTTTTGTGAAGTATTTTACTGGGGTTCTCTGCATTTCCCGAATTTGAATGTTGGCCTCTCTAGCTAGGTTGGGGAAGTTCTCATGGCTGATATCCTGAAATACGTTTTCCAAGTGGGTTCCATTCTCCCCATTTCTTTCAGGTACACCAATCAGTTGTAGATTCAGTCTCTTTACATAATCCCACATTTATCAGAGGTTTTGTTCATTCCTTTTTTTTTCTCTCTATTCTTGTCTGCCTGTCTTATTTCAGAAAGCCAGTCTTCAAGCTCTGAGTGTTTCCTCTGCTTGGTCTATTCTGCTATTAATACTTGCATTATGAAATTCTTATAGTGTGTTTTTCAGTTCTATCAGGACAGCTACATTCTTCTGTATACTGGCTATTTTGTGTGTCAGTTCCTGCAATGCTTTATCATAATTTTTAGCTTCCTTGTATTGGGTTACAACATACTCCTGTAGTTCATTGAACTTCATACCTGTCCATATACTAAATTCTACTTCTGTCATTTCAGCCATCTCAGCCTCAGCTGGGTTTCAAACTCTTGCTAGAGAGATGATGCTATCCTTTGGAGGAAAGAAGGCACTCGAGCTTGTTGAGTTTTCAGCATTCCTTGCGCTGATTATTTCTCATCTTTGTGGGCTTATCTACCTTCAATCTTTGAATTTTTTTCCTTTGTCCTATTTGATGATTTTGAGGGTCTGATTGTGATATAAAGCATATTAAGCCAGCTGGCTTCATTTCTGGGAGATTTTAGGGGGCCAACACTCAGCTCCCAACTCCTGGAGTGCATGTTCTAATGTAGGGGACTTGTACTGGGCCTGACTTTGTTCTCTAGCTCCTCAAGGTTTGGAGTCCACTGTGCTGGGGGTGCCAGGGTGTGGCAGCAACAGCATAGTGCTAGAGAATGTGGGGGTACCTGCTTCCCTGGTGGGCGTTCACCACAGCGATAGAGGCAAGGCAGTTGGTGAGGGTGTGGGGGGGCCCTGCTGGAGACTGTGTGTGCTGTTGCACTGGAGGTGGCATTGGCTTGGGGTGGCACAGGTCTGGATGCCTTCTCTGTGCCCCATAAGCAGGAGTGATCACTCAGGGTATAGGAGGATCCCCTGTTTTCAGTACAGGATTTGTGCAAGGGTGGGGCTCTGGCTAGGTGGGGCTTCCTGGCTCTGTGCTGGCCAAAGATTTGTCTGCAACAGCCATCACTGGGGGTTGGGGGGTTGCATACTGCACTGCTACTGGCAGGGCAAATGAAGCAAAACCCACCCCTGCAGACACACATCAATGAAGTGATGTGGGCAGTTGCCGTGGGCTCAGGGGAAGCTGCAGTATAGGGGGGAAACTTGCAGGCTGATGTGTGGCCATAGAGGCCACCTCTCTGGAGCTTTCCACTGGTCAGGCACAGTCCACAGGCACAGAAGCTATGGTGTGGGCCTCCAGAGCCCCCCAAGACTGCCCTGTAAGCAGGCAAGGCCAGGCTGGGGCCATGGGAGAGGCCAGTAGACCAAAGAGTGCTCAGGTTAGACCAGCCCTGTCTGATGTGCAAGACTACCCTGCAGAGATCAGGTCTGACAGTAGGGACTTTTTCATTTATTGTATTGGATACACTATGGACCTTTTCAAACTAGAGAGCAGTGTTCTTAATTTCAGAGATATTGTATTATTATTTCCTTGATAACGGCCTCCCTGCCAATTTCTCTATTCTCTTCTTCCGTAATTCCTGATACTTCAATATCGTATCTCTTGGATTTATCTTCTAAGCTTCTTAATTTTTAAACTTTATACCTCTTTATATTTTTGCTATATTTTCTGCAAAATTATCTTGACATATCTTTTGGCACTTCTATTCATGGTTTTTTTTTAGTCATCAACTTTTTTCATCTTAAAAAGATCCTACTTGTTCTCTGAATGTTCTTTTTCACAGAATTCAGTTGTTTCCTGGATACAACATTTTCCCTGATTTCTATGAATATATTCATTTTATTACTAATACGCATTTTATTTAAAGTTTTATTTTATTCTTGAAATTGTCTCCGTCTCTTCTAGGTTCCTTTTATCTGTGTGACTATTCGGTTTCTCTTTCACACAGGAAATGTTTATCAAATACCTGAAATCCTTAGCCATCTCCTCATACCATTATGATATTCACTTAAAAAGCCACCTGGATGCTCTATGTATATGGATGGGACTGATTAATAGGGCAATCTCACTGTGCAGTGATAAGGTGGCAAACAGGTCTATTCATCAGGACTTACACCCCCAAATAGCAGCATCTGAAGCTTTTTTCTTGGCCTGCTCAATTTCTTATGAAAAAAAAAAAAGGTATCTAACCTCTGAGGAGTGCAGCTCCTAGCCAAAATCCTATGTGTGATCTTTCAGGCCCAATCATAGGTGCCAAGACCACTTTATCTGGGAGACTTGAAGACACATTTCTCCACTGTGACTCAGTATTCACTGCTTTTCCACTCCTAGCCACTCCCAGTGGCTAAAAGAGTAAATAAATAAGTAAGCAAGCTGGGGATAATAATTCTCCCAGGGAAACTTAAAAGAAACAAATCAAACTCTTTCTGAATTCTCACACAAAAGCCAAACCACACAGGTTTTTCATAGGTAATGTCCTACCAATCATAAGATCACAATCTAGAATTACACAAGAAAACCATCTGCCATAAGCAAAAATAGAAGGATTTCATGGAATTAGATCTCCAAGGAATTCATATGAGAGTCATCATGGAAAACTATAAGCATTTAAAATTACAAAATAGAATCAAATATATGTGAAAGAAGAAACTAGAAAAAACATCACACAGGTTGGCAAAAGTATACTTCCAGATATGAAAAATATAGTCATTAAAATAGCAAATAACAGTAATATTATAAAGTCTCATAATCTTAGAAAGTCCCTAATCTTATAAATTCTGTGGATGGGTCAAACAGCACATTAGACAAAGATGAAGACAGAAACAGTGAAACTGAAGATAGACCTGAATAAATTACTCAGAATATAGTGCAAAGAGGATGGAAATATAAAAATAAGGCTAGAGACATGAAGTATATAATGAGAAAGTCTAGAATGAGCCTTTTGTGGGGGGAGTGAAGAATTTGAAAAGATAATTAAGAATTTTCTAGAAGAAATATGTGAATACTTAGATTAAGACTCCCAATGAGTCCCAGGCAGCATAAAGAGAAGTAAATCTACACCTAGGCACAGTACAGAACACCCAAGAGATATAAAATGGTCACATATTTCTTGTATGTGTCAAGTATGTGACACTTGTATGTGTCACAGTTAGGAGGAGTGCTAACTGGCATTTAGTGGGTAGAGACCAGAGATGCTGCTAAACGTGTTACAATGCACAAGACAGCTTCCCACAACAAAGAGTTTTTCAGCCCAAAATGTCAATAGTGCAATGGTTAGGAAACACTGTCTTAGACAAATAATGTGAAAGAAGATTTTTCACAAGGGACTACTTGGCACCTACTTTTGACAGCACAGAGATTTCCCAAAGCAAAATGTCCCACATCAAGTTCATGTTCTTTCCAGCCAAACCCTGGACTTCTTTTATTGTTCTCTGTCTCAGGAAAAAGTACCAGCATTCATTCTAATGTTCTCACTGATACGTTGAGATACTAAGTCTCTTCCAAAGCCCTTCTTACCTCCAAAGCCCTTCTCTCTGATCTTGAGCTACAGTGCACTTCATTTGACAGCTCTCTTGGCCTTCTTGGAGCTTTTCTGATCCATTAGCCCTGAAATAAGTAAGACACTGACTTTCATAGTCCCAAAGATTCCTCCATGAATTTTTAAGTCACTATATTTGAACAGCAGAACAGTCATTCAGAATTCAATGGTTTTTGTAACTTGTAAAATACCTTAAATATACTACAATAACCATAAATATTATATTCTCTCAAGTCAAAAGGTCATTCAAAGATAACCTGAGATTTGTGGTGATTTCAATGCTTGAGAGAAAAACAGGCTAATTATCTCTTCCCCTTTCTTGAGGGTTGATTCTGTACACTGAAATAATGAAAAGCTTTGAATCCACTGAGGGCTTAGAGAGTAACAGCTTTTTGCTGTAAGGGGTAGTGCTTAGAGCAATGGCTTCCAAATTGACTGGATGTCTCAGAATCACCTGGAAGAGCTTTCTAAAAACAGAAACTATCCAGTTTCTACAGTGAAAATTAGGTCTGGGGTGGCGTTCCAAAATCTGCATTGTTTTAAAAAAACTCCCCAAGTATACTGCTAGGTTTCAGAACTACTTTAAAGGATGGACATTCCTACCCAGGTGAATAACTATTTGGCGTCATTGCTGACATGGCCCTAAAATAATGGTTTTCTGTGTCATAAGTTAGAGTTGTCGTTAAAGATGTCAGCATATTCCTAAATAATTCAGGGGTCAAAGAGAGTATCAAATACAGAAGCTTCAAACTGCAAGTATAGAAACAGAATAGAAAGTCCAGAAAAAGACCCACAAAACACACTCAACTGATTTTCAACAAAGTCACCAAAATAATTCCATAAGGAATGGACAGTCTTTTCTACAAATGGTGTTGGAACAACTGGATATCCAAATGGGAGAAAAAATAATGAACCCTGACCTCTCCTTCATACCAATTCATACCACTTCATACCAAATATAAAAATTAATTTGGGATGAATGATGGGATCAAGCACAAAACTATAAAGCTGCAAGAAGAAAACAAATTTACAATATTTAGGTAAGTAAGGATTTCTTAAGTAAAACACAAAAAGCAATAACCATAGAAGAAAAAGTGATAAAAATGAACTGCATTAAAACTAAGATCTTCTATTCTTCAAAAGACACTGTAAAAAAGATAAATCACAGACTAGAAGAAAATATTACAATACGTAAATCTGACAACTTATATCCAGAATATGTGGAGAACACTTACAACTCAAATAACAAAGAAAACAGACAACCCATTTTTTTAATGGGTTGTCTGAACAAAAGGACTGAACTAACCTTTCATCATACAAAAGTATATGAATGGCCAATAAGTACGCAAAAAGATGTTCAATATCATTATCCATCAAGCAAATACAAATTAAAAACACATGATATGCTACTTTGTACCCAATAAAGTTGCTAAAACTTAAAAGACTGACAATATCAATTATTAATACTGATGTGGAATAACTGGAAGTCTCATGCATTTCTGTATGGAATATATATATGGTACAAAGACTAGAAAACAGTTTGTCAGTTTCTGATAAAATTAACCATACCCCTTGGCCCAGAAATTCCACTAAATATGCACCCCCAAAAAATAAAAACATGTCCACAGAAAGATTTTTAAAGGAATTCCTATAGCAACTTTATGCATAATAGCCAAAAAACTGGAAACAACCCAAAAGTTCATCTAGAGACAGGATAACAAATTGTGGTATAGTCATACCATGGAATGCTACTCAGCAATTAAAAAAAAAAAAGAATGAACTGCTGATATAAGCAACACAATGGATTAACCTCAAAATCACTTTGCTGAGGGAAAGAAGCCAGACACAAAAGAGCACATACTGTAAGATTTCATATACACAAAGCCCAACAATCAATGAAATGAATCAGTAGGGACAGAAATCAGCAGCAATTGTCCATGAGGAGTTGGAACTGACTGGAAGGTGACATGAGAGAACATTTGGGGTAGTGAAAGCGTTCTGTGTCTTGGGTGGTGTGTTGGTTACACAGACATACGTATTTGTCAAAACTCACCAAACTGCACAATTAACATATGTGCATTTCACTCTGTATAAATTTTACTTCATTAAAAAATTCATCTAATTGTACCCTTAAGATACGTATTTTCTTGCTTGTAAATTATACTTGTTACAAAAGCTTAAAAATGCAGTTACAGGCTATTAAATCTATAAATGCAGCAAAATCTACAAATCAAAATTGATATGGAGACAAATATTTTCAGAAGAAATTTTATAGCCTTAAATATATTCATTTTTAAAAATAGAAAATGAAAATGAATTTTAAAAATGGCAAAAAACAAGATGAGAAAAACCTAAGAGATCAAGAGAAATTATTAGAAAATAAAAATAGATTTGATAAATACATCCAAGAGCTAATGTCTTTGCAAATATCAATAAAATGGACAAGCCTCTTGCAGATTTAAACAACAGAAAACACATTCAAAACATTAAAAGCAAGAATTAGGCTTTATTCACAGATATAGAAGTATGTTATAATGGTGTAAGAAATTTAAACACAGTAATCTAAGCTAAAAATCCTGAAAATAAGGATGAGACGTGTGATTTTCTAAAAACACATAAACTTAAATGACTTGAGAAAACAGTTCATCTGGATATCAATAACCATGGGAGAAGTTGAAATTTTTGCCTAAGAAATAACTCCAAAAGCTGTATCATATCCAGACAATTTTACAAGTGAGTCCTATTGAAGCTTCAAGGAAAGACAATTAACATGCAATTTAAATTGTTCCAGAGCAGAGAAAAAGATGGCACACTTCCAATTCATTTTCTCAAACCACCAATACTCTAATACCAAAGCCCACACATAAATACAGCACAAAAAAGGAAATCACAAACTAATCTCACTATTAATATAAATAACATGCTAATCCACTAGCATGTTAAAAACACCAGTCAATTAATTAGTCACATCAATACCTCTGAAGATTAAAAATAATTATTTCAATAATTGCAAAGATTAAAAATAATTAAAATGAAAGCAATATTAAAATAAATACAAAAGCTGCCTGAAAATAGAAGAAAACTTCCTTAATCTAATAGAGAATAGTTATTGCATATTGATAGCCAATATTATGGTTAATGATAAAATACAGAGTGCACTCTCATTAAATTCAGGAAGAAGAGCAGTGTGCTCATTACTCTTTTGCATTTTTCTGTAAGTTATAGCCAATGTAATGAAGGACAATAATTTTTTAATTGATGGTTTTTTATTAATTATTACAGATACATAATAGTTACACACATTTATGTAGTACATGTGATATACTGATACAAGCATACAATGTCTAATGATCAAATCAGGATAATTGGGATCTCTATCACCTCAAGTATTTATCATTTTTTTGTGTTAGAAACATTCCAATTCCATTTGTTCAGTTATTTTAAAATATACAATAAATTATTGTTAAATGGGGATAAATGTGTCTCTATTTTCAAGTGATTCTTCTCTATACGGAAAAACCAGAGTAAACAAAATGAAAATGTACTAGTAGAAGTCAGTAAGATAATTAGTTTAAGAAGATACAAAAATCAGCAATATAGATATAGATATTGACATCGATACAGAAAATAGATATACATAGATCTCAACAGTAATCACTTAAGAAATTTAACAGGAAAAAAGTTCCATCTTTAACAATAATCAGAAACATGCAATACATAAGAAACATCCTAACAAGAAATGCAAAACATCTTATATAATGAAAACTACCAAACTTCACTGAGGCCCAAAAAAGAAAACCTGTTTATTAGTATGTTTTATAACATAAACATAAGGCAATTTAAATGAAGATACCAATGAAATGCTTAAGAAGTAAACTCAATGATTTCAATGTTCATGTGAAAGAATAAACAAGTTATAACTGACATAAATTATTTTAAACGATGCTTAATAGCATAATAAAATATGTGGAATATCTCTGTATTTTACCAAATACAGTTATGCATTGCTTAATAACAAGGATATATTCTGAGAAATGCATCAAGCAATGTTGTTGTTGTACAAGAGTGTTCTTACACAAACCTAGATGGCATAGCCTACCACACACCTAGGCTATATGATATTGCCTATTGCTCCTAGGCTACAAACCTGTACAGCATTTATCGTATTGAATACTGTAGGCAACTGTAACACAATGATAAATATTTGTGTATTTAAACATATCTAAACATAGAAAAAGTACGGTTAAAATATAGTATAAAAGATAAACAATGGTACACCTGTATAGGGTACTTACCATAAATGGAGCTTGCAGGACTGGAAGTTGCTCTGACTGAGTCAGTGAGTGGTGAGTAAATGCGAAGGCCTAGGACATTATACACACTATTATAAAGTTTATAAACATTTGCACTTGCTGTACGAAAACACTTTTTTCTTTATATCTTTATAAGCTTTCTTCTAATTTTAAATTATTTTTCTTTTTAAATTTTGCTAAAAATTAAGACACAAACACACACATTACTCTAGGCCTACACAGGGTCAGGATCATCAATATCACTGTCTTCCACCTTCACATCCTGTCTGACAGTGAGGTGCACAGCAGCAGTAACATGGGGGGGTCATCTCCTATAATAACAACGCCCTCTTCTGGAATACCTCCTGCAGGACCTGCCTGAGGCTGTTTTAATAAGTAGAAAAAGTACACTCTGAAATAACAATAAAAAGTATCATATAGTAAATACATAAACCAGTAACATAATCGTTTATTATCATTATCAATAATGTACTATACATAATTGTGTATGTTATACTTTTATATGACTGGTAGCACAGGTTTGTTTACACCAGCATCAGCACAAAGACGTAAGTAACATTACACTACAATGTTACGACAGCTACTACATCACTAGGCAATAGGAATTTTTCAGCTCCATTATAATCTTAAGAGACCACCATCATATATGTGGTCTGTTGTTCATCAAAACATTACACAGCAGGTGACTATCAAAATGTACTATAAAGACACGCATATTAGAGTAATTGGGTATTGTAATAGGGATAGAAAATCAAGAATCAGAACCAATTATATATAACAACTACTTCTATGATTAAAAAACAAAACAAAACAAAATGTTGAGGAGGTGGAACCAAATGGCCAAATGGAAGCCTCCTGTGATCCTCCCCACTGCAGAAACAACAAATTGAACAACTATCCATACAATAAAGAACCTAAAGAACCAAAAATCAGATGAGGGATATCACAGTACCTGGTTTTAACATCATATTAAGGAAAGAGAAACTGAAGAGGGTAGGAAAGACAGTCTTGAATTGCCTATGCCACCCCTTCCCCAGCAGCAGTGGCATGGCATAGAGGGAAAATCTGTGCACTTGGGAAGGGAGAGCACAGTGATTGTGGGACATAGCATTGAAACTAAGTCCTGCCCTGGAAAGCAACATGGGACAGAACTCAGCTGGCACCCACAGAGGGAGCATTTAGACCAGCCCTAATGAGAGGCAAGTTGTCCATCCCAGAAATAAGGACCTGAGTTCCAGCAAGACCCACCACCATGGGCTAAAAAGCTCTGGGGTGGGGTCCTAAATTAATTTGAAAGGCAATCTAGGCCAAAGGGATTGCAACTCCTGGGCAAGTCCTGGTGCTATGCTGGGCTTGGAGTCAGCTGACTTGGGGTGCACATGACCAAGTGAGATACCAGCTGCTATGGCCAGGAGAGTGCTTGTGTCATCTGTCTCCCAACCCCAAGCAGTGCAGCTTGCAGCTCCAGGAGAGACTTATTTCCTGCGCTCAAGGAGAGGACAGAGACAAGTAAAGAGGACTTTGTCTTGCAACTTGGAAACCAGATGAGCCACAGTAGGATAGGGCACCAGGCAGAATCCTACAGCCCCCAGTCCAGATCCCAGCTCCCAGACATTTCTAAACACACCCTGGGGAATAAGGGAACCCCTTGCGTTAAAGTGAAAGACCTAGTCCTGGTGAAATTCATCGTCTACTAACTAAAGAGCCCTTAGGCCCTGAATAAGCTAATAGTAGTCAGGCAGTACTCACTTCAGGCCTTGGGTGAGACTCAGAGCCATGCTGGCTGCAGGTGTGACCCAGCACATTCTCAGCTGTGGTGGCTATAGGAAGATACTGCTTCTGCTTGAGGAAAGAAGGAAGAGTAAAGGGGACTTTGTTTTGCAGCTTGGGTACCAACTTGGTTACAGTGGGGCAGAGCACCAAGTGGGCTCCTGGGGTAGGGGCGGCCATGAGGAGAGACCCTTCTGCTTGAGGAAAGAGTGGAGAAAACTTTTGTCTTGTGGTTTGGGTCCAGTTCAGCCACAGTAGAACAGAGCACTAAGGTTCTCAACTATAGGCCCGGGCCCCTGAATGGCATCTCTGGACCCACCAGCAGCCAGAGAGAACTCACTGCCCTGTGAGGAAGGACGTAAGCCTGGCTGGATTTCCCACCTGCTGACTGTAGAAGCTCTTGAACCTTGAGCGAACATAGGCAGTAGCCAGGCAGTGGTCACTGCAGGCCTTGGGTGAGACCCAGTGCTGTGCTGGTTTCAGGTCTGATCCAGCACCGTCCCACTGGTGGTGGCCACAGAGGTGCTTGTGTCACTCCTCCCCCAGCTCCAGGCAACTCAGCATAAAGACAGAGACTTTTGTTCGCTTGGGTGAAAGTAAAGGAAGAGAACAAAAATGTCTGCCTGGCAATCCAGAGAATTCTCCCAGATCTCACCCAAAACCACCAAGGTGGTACCTCTGAGTCTGCAAGAGCCACAGTATTACTGGGTTTAGGGTGTGCCCTAAAGCCAGTATGGTTGCAGTGACCAAAGACTTACATCACAACACACAAGTCCCTCCGAGCACCTGGAAAGCCTTCCCAAGAAGGACAGGTGCACACAAGCCCAGACCATGAAGACTACAATAAATACCTAACTCTTCAATGCCCAGACACTGAAGAACATCCACATGCGTCAAGAACATTCAGGAAAACATTAACTTCCTAAATAAACTAAATACACCAGTAACAAATCCCAGAGAGGAAGAGATACGCGACCTTTCAGACAGAGAATTCAAAACAGCTGTTTTAAGGAAGCTCAACAAAATCCAGGATAACAGAGAAGAAAGTCAGAATCATATCAGATACATTGAACAAAGAGATTGAAATAATTAAAAAGAATCTAGCAGAAATTCTGAAGCTGAAAAAGGCAATTGGTCTATTGAAGAATGCATCATAGTCTCTTAGTAGCAAAATGATCAAGGAGAAGAAAGAATTAGTGAGTTTGAATACAGGCTATTTGAAAATACACAGCCAGGGAGACAAAAGAAAAAAAAGAATAAAAAAGAAGAAAGTAAGCCTACAACATCTAGAGTCTCAAAAGAGCAAATCTAAGAGGTATTAGCCTTAAAGAGGAGGTGGATAACGAGATAGGGGTAGAAAGTTTATTCAAAGAGATAACAACAAAGAACTTCCCAAACCTAGGGAATATATCAATATTCAAGTACAAAAAGGATATAAGATATCACGCAGATTTAATCCAAAGAAGACGACCTCAACGCATTTAATAATCAAACCCCCAAAGGTCAAGGATTTAAAAATGATCCTAAAAGCAGCAAGAGAAAAGAAACAAGTAACATATTATGGAGCTCTAATATGTCTGGCAGCAGACTTCTCAGTGGAAACCTTACAGGCCAAGAGTGAGTGGCATAACATATTCAGTGCTGAAGGAAAAAACTTTTACCATAGAATAGTATATCCAGCAAAAAAATCCTTCAAATATGAAGGAGAAACTAAGACTTTCCCAAACAAAAGCTGAAGGATTTCATCAATACCAGACCTTTTCTATAAGAAATGATAAAGGGAGTTCTTCAGTCTGGAAAAAAAAGGGGGTAAATGAGCAATATAAAATCATGTGAAGGTATTCATTAATAATAGTAAAAACACAGAAAAATACAGAATATTATAACACCGTAATTGTAGTGTATAAACTATATCATGAGTAGAAAGACTAAATGATGAACAAATAAAAAATAATAACTACAACTTTTCAAGACATAGTATACAGTATAAATAAAAACAAAAAGTTAAAAAGCAAGAAGATAAAGTGTAGTGTTCACATTAGTTTACTCTTGGCTTGTTATTTTGTTGTTTGCACAATCAGTGTTAAGTTGTCATCGGTTCAAAATGATGGGTTATAAGATATTATTTGAAAACCTCACAGTAACAAATCAAAAAACATACAACAGTTACACAAAATAAAAAGCAAGAAGTTAAAACATACCACCTGAGAAAATCACCTTCACTAAAAGGAAGACATGAAGACGGGAAAGAAGGAAGAGAAGACCAGAAAGTAACCAGAAAACAAATAACAAAATGGCAGGAGTAAGCCCTTGCTTATCAATAATAACATTGAATGTAAATGAACTAAACTCTTCAATCAAAAGTAACAGAGTGGCTGAAAGGATAAAAACAAAAAGACAAAATAATCTGTTGCCTACAAGAAACATACTTCACCATAAGACATACATAGACTGAAAATACAGGGATGGAAAAAGACATTTCATGCTAATGGAAACCAAAAAAGTTTTTAAGTATAGCAGGAGTAGCTATACTTATATCAAATAAAATAGATTTCAAGACAAAAACTATAAAAAGAGACAAAGAAGGGCATTATATAATAATAAAATGGTCAATTCAGAAAGAGGATATAACAATTGTGAATATATATGTACTCAACATTGGAGCACCCAGATATGTAAAACAAATATTATTAGAGCTAAAGAGAACAAAAACTCCAATACAATAATAATTGGAAAATTTAACACCCCAATTTCAGCATTGGACAGATCATCCAGACAGAAAATCAACAAAGAAACATTGGACTTAGGCTGGGTGCAGTGGCTCATGCCTGTAATCCCAGCACTTTGGGAGGCCAAGGCAGGCGGATCACGAGGTCAAGAAATTGAGACCATCCTGGCTAACACTGTGAAACCCCGTCTCTACTAAAAATACAAAAAAATTAGCCAGGCATGCTGGCGGGTGCCTGTAGTCCCAGCTACTTGGGAGGCTGAGTCAGGAGAATGGCGTGAACCCAGGACGCGGAGCTTGCAGTGAGCCGAGATCGTGCCACTGCACTCCAGCCTGGGCGATGGAGCAAGACTCCGTGTCAAAAAAAAAAAAAAAGAAAAAGAAACATTGGACTTAATCTGCACTACAGATCAAGTTGACCTAACAGATATTTAGAGAACATTTCATCCAATGCCTACAGAAAACACATTCTTCTCAGCACCTGGATAATTCTCAAGGATGGACCATATGTTAGGCCACAAAAAAGCCTTTAAAGACTTTTTTAAAACTGAAATTATATCAAGTATCTTTCTGAAAACAATGGAATAAAACTACAAATCGATAACAAGAGGGATTTTTGGAAACTATACAAATACACGAAAATTAAACAATATGCTCTTAAATAATAAAGATCAGAGCAGAAATAAAATTCAAACAAAAAATACAAAATATCAACAAAATGGAAAGTTGATGTTTTTATTTTATTTATTTTATTATTATTATACTTTAAATTTTAGGGTACATGTGCACAATGTGCAGGTTTGTTACATATGTATACATGTGCCATGTTGGTGTGCTGCACCCATTAACTCATCATTTAGCATTAGGTATATCTCCTAATGCTATCCGTCCCCCCTCCCCCGACCACACAACAGTCCCCAGAGCGTGATGTTCCCCTTCCTGTGTCCATGTGTTCTCATTGTTCAATTCCCACCTATGAGTGAGAATATGCGGTGTTTGGTTTTTTGTCCTTGCAATAGTTTGCTCAGAATGATGGTTTCCAGCTTCATCCATGTCCCTACAAAGGACATGAACTCTTCATTTTTTATGGCTGCATAGTATTCCATGGTGTATCTGTGCCACATTTTCTTAATCCAGTCTATCATTGTTGGACATTTGGGTTGGTTCCAAGTCTTTGCTATTGTGATTAGTGCCTCAATAAACACACGTGTGCATGTGTCTTTATAGCAGCATGATTTATAATCCTTTGGGTATATACCCAGTAATGGGATGGCTGGGTCACATGGTATTTCTAGTTCTAGATCCCTGAGGAATCGCCACACTGACTTCCACAATGGTGGAACAAGTTTACAGTCCCACCAACAACGTAAAAGTGTTCCTATTTCTCCACATCCTCTCCAGCACCTGTTGTTTCCTGACTTTTTAATGATCGCCATTCTAACTGGTGTGAGATGGTATCTCATTGTGGTTTTGATTTGCATTTCTCTGATGGCCAGTGATGATGAGCATTTTTTCATGTGTTTTTGGCTGCATAAATGTCTTCATTTGAGAAGTGTCTGTTCATATCCTTCGCCCACTTTTTGATGGGGTTGTTTTTTTCTTGTAAATTTGTTTGAATTCTTTGTAGATTCTGGATATTAGCCCTTCGTCAGATGAGTAGGTTGCGAAAATTTTCTCCCATTCTGTAGGTTGCCTGTTCACTCTGATGGTAGTTTCTTTGGCTGTGCAGAAACTCTTTTTTTTTTTTTGAGACGGAGTCTCGCTCTGTCGCCCAGGCCGGACTGCGGACTGCAGTGGCGCAATCTCGGCTCACTGCAAGCTCTGCTTCCCGGGTTCACGCCATTCTCCTGTCTCAGCCTCCCAAGTAGCTGGGACTACAGGCGCCCGCCACCGCGCCCGGCTAATTTTTTGTATTTTTAGTAGAGACGGGGTTTCACCTTGTTAGCCAGGATGGTCTCGATCTCCTGACCTCATGATCCACCCGCCTCGGCCTCCCAAAGTGCTGGGATTACAGGCGTGAGCCACCGCGCCCGGCCGCAGAAACTCTTTAGTTTAATTAGATCCCATTTGTACATTTTGGCTTTTGTTGCCATTGCTTTTGGCGTTTTAGACATGAAGTCCTTGCCCATGCCTATGGCCTGAATGGTACTGCCTAGGTTTTCTTCTAGGGTTTTTATGGTTTTAGGTCTAACATTTAAGTCTTTAATCCATCTTGAATTAATTTTTGTATAAGGTGTAAGGAAGGCATCCAGTTTCAGCTTTCTGCATATGGCTAGCCAGTTTTCCCAGCACCATTTATTAAATAGGGAATCCTTTCCCCATCGCTTGTTTTTGTCAGGTTTGTCAAAGATCAGATAGTTGTAGATATGCGGCATTATTTCTGAGGTCTCTGTTCTGTTCCATTGGTCTATATCTCTGTTTTGGTATCAGTACCATGCTGTTTTGATTACTGTAGCCTTGTAGTATAGCTTTAAGTCAGGTAGCGTGATGCCTCCAGCTTTGTTCTTTTGGCTTAGGATTGACTTGACAATGTGAGCTCTTTTTTGGTTCCATATGAACTTTAGTTTTTTCCAATTCTGTGAAGAAAGTCATTGGTAGCTTGATGGGGAGGCCAATGAATCCATAAATCATCTTGGGCAGTATGGCCATTTTCACGATATTGATTCTTCCTACCCATGAGCATGGAATGTTCTTCCATTTGATTGTATCCTCTTTTATTTCATTGAGCAGTGGTTTGTAGTTCTTCTTGAAGAGGTCCTTCACGTCCCTTGTAAGTTGGATTCCTAGGTATTTTATTCTCTTTGAAGCAATTGTGAATGGGAGTTCACTCATGATTTGGCTCTCTGTTTGTCTGTTATTGGTGTATAAGAATGCTCGTGATTTTTGCACATTGATTTTGTATCCTGAGACTGCTGAAGTTGCTTATCAGCTTGAGGAGATTTTGGGCTGAGACGACGGGGTTTTCTAGATATACAATCATGTCATCTGCAAACAGGGACAATGTGACTTCCTCTTTTCCTAATTGAATGCCCTTTCTTCCCTTCTCCTGCCTGATTGCCCTGGCCAGAACTTCCAACCCTATGTTGAATAGGAGTGGTGAGAGAGGGCATCCGTGTCTTGTGCCAGTTTTCAAAGGGAATGCTCCCAGTTTTTGTCCATTCAGTATGACACTGGCTGTGGGTTTGTCATAGATAGCTCTTATTATTTTGAGATATGTCCCATCAATACCTAATTTAGTGAGAGTTTCTAGCATGAAGCGTTGTTGAATTTTGTCAAAGGCCTTTTCTGCATCTGTTGAGACAATCATGTGGTTTTTGTCTTTGGTTCTGTTTATATGCTGGATTACGTTTATTGATTTGCATATGTTGAACCAGCCTTGCATCCCAGGGATGAAGCCCACTTGATCATGGTGGATAAGCTTTTTGATGTGCTGCTGGATTCCGTTTGCCAGTATTTTATTGAAGATTTTTGCATCAATGTTCATCAAGGATATTGGTCTAAAATTCTCTTTTTTTGTTGTGTCTCTGCCAGGCTTTGGTATCAGGATGATGCTGGCCTCATAAAATGAGTTAGGGAGGATTCCCGTTTTCTACTGATTGGAATAGTTTCAGATGGAATGGTACCAGCTCCTCTTTGTACCTCTGGTAGAATTCGGCTGTGAATCCATCTGGTCCCGGACTTTTTTTGGTTGGTAAGCTATTAATTATTGCCTCAATTTCAGAGCCTGTTATTGGTCTATTCAGAGATTCAACTTCTTCCTGGTTTAGTCTTGGGAGGGTGTATGTGTCGAGGAATTTATCCATTTCTTCTAGATTTTCTAGTTTATTTGCATAGAGGTGTTTATAGTATTCTCTGATGGTAATTTGTATTTCTGGAGGATCAGTGGTCATATCCCCTTTGTCATTTTTTATTGCGTCTATTTGATTCTTCTCTCTTTTCTTCTTTATTAGTCTTGCTAGCGGTCTATCAATTTTGTTGATCTTTTCAAAAAACCAGCTCCTGGATTCATTGATTTTTTGAAGGGTTTTTTGTGTCTCTATCTCCTTCAGTTCTGCTCTGATCTTAGTTATTTCTTGCCTTCTGCTAGCTTTTGAATGTGTTTGCTCTTGCTTCTCTAGTTCTTTTAATTGTGATGTTAGGGTGTCAATTTTTCATCTTTCCTGCTTTCTCTTGTGGGCATTTAGTGCTATAAATTTCCCTCTACACATTGCTTTGAATGTGTCCCAGAGATTCTGGTATGTTGTGTCTTTGTTCTCATTGGTTTCAAAGAACATCTTTATTTCTGCCTTCATTTCGTTATGTATCCAGTAGTCATTCAGGAGCAGGCTGTTCAGTTTCCATGTAGTTGAGCAGTTTTGAGTGAGTTTCTTAATCCTGAGTTCTAGTTTGATTGCACTGTGGTCTGAGAGACAGTTAGTTATAATTTCTGTTCTTTTACATTTGCTGAGGAGTGCTTTACTTCCAACTAGGAAAGTTGATGTTTTCAAAAGATAAACAAAATTGACAAACGTTTAGCTCAACTAAGAAAAAAAGAGAGAAGACCTAAATAAATAAAGAGGAAAAAGGAGACATTAAAACCAAAACTACACAAATGCAAAGGATCATTAGAGGCTACTATGAGCAACCACATGCCAATAAATTGGAAAACCTAGAAGTAACTGATAGATTCCTAGGCACGTAAAACCTCCCAATATTAAGTCATGAATAAATCCAAAACCTAAATAGGCCAATCACAAGTAATAATATTGAAGCCATAACAAAAAGTCTCCCAGCAAAGAAAAGCCCAGGACCTGATGGCTTCATTGCTGAATTCTCCCAAGTGTTTAAAGAATGAATAGCAATCTTACTCATACTATTCCAAAAAATAAAGGAGGTTAGAATACTTCCAAACTCATTCTATGAAGGCTGTTTTACTCTGACACCAAAACCAGATCATAATATATCAAAAAAGGAAAGCTAAAGGTCAATATCACTGATAAACATTGATGCAAAAATCCTCAACAAAATACTAGCAAACTGAATTCAACAACACATTAAAATGATCATTCATCATAACCAAGTGGGATTTATCCCAGGGACGCAAGGATGGCTCAACATATGCAAATCAATGTGATATATCATATCACATACAAAAACCATACGATCACTTCAATTAATGCTGAAAAAGCATTTGATAAAATTCAACATCCCTTCATGATAAAAACCCTTAAAAAAACTGGGTATAGAAGGAACAGACCTCAACACAATAAAAGTAATGTGCCACAGACCCATAGCTAGTATCATACTGAATGGAGAAAACTTAAAGCCTTTTCTCTAAGATCTGGAACAAGACAAGTATGCCCAGTTTTACAACTGTTGTCCAACATAGGATGGGAAGTCCTAGCTAGAGCAATCAGACAAGAGAAACAAATAAAAGGCATCCAAACTGGAAAGGAAGTTTTATAGCAATTAGAAAGGAAGAAGTCAAATTATCCTTGTTTGCAGATGATGTGAGCTTGTATTTGGAAAAACCTAAAGACTCCACCAAATAACTATTAGAACTGATACGAAAATTCAGTAAACTTGCAGGATACAAAATCAACATACAAAAATCAGTAGCATCTCTGTATACCAATAGTAAACAATCTGAAAAAGAAATCAAGGAAGTAATTCAATTTACAATAGTTATAAATAAAATTAAATACCTAGGAATAAATTTAACCAAAGAAGTGAAAGCTCTCTATAATGAAAACTATAAAACACTGATGCAAGAAACTTTTTTCATACAAAAAGGAAAGACATTCCATATTCATTGACTGGTAGAATCAATATTGTTAAAATGTCCATACTGCCCAAAGCAATCTTCAGATTCAATGCAATTTCTATCAAAATACCAATAATATTCTTCACAGAAATAGAAAAAAAAATCCTAAAATGTACATAATACCACAAAGAAGACCCAGAATAGCAAAGCTATCATGAGCAAAAAGAACAGAACTGGAGAAATCACATTGCCTGACTTCAAGCTATACTACAGACGTATTGTAAACAAGACAGCATAGTACTGGCATAACAAGAAACACACAGACCAATAGAACAGAATAGAGAACCCAGAAACAAATCCATACATCTACAATGAACTCATTTTTGACAAAGGTACCAAGAATATACATTGGGGAAAGGACAGTCTCTTCAATAAATGATGCTGGGAAAACTGGATATCCATATGCAGAAAAATGAAACAACCCCTATCTCTCACCATAAACAAGCATCAAATCAAAATGGATTAAACATTTAAATCTAAGACCTCAAACTATGAAACTACTAGAAGAAAACATTGGGGAAACTCTCCAGGACACTGGAGTAGTCAAGGATTTCTTGACTATAATACATAATCACAGGCAACCAAGCAAAAATGGACAAATGGGATCATATCAAATTATAAAGCCTCTGTACAGCAAAGGAAACAATCCACAAAGTGAAGAGACAACCCACAGAATGGGAGAAAATATTTGCAACCTACTCACCTGACAAGGCATTAATAACCAGAATATATAAGGAGCTCAAATGTCTCTATAGGAAAATATCTAATAATCCAATTTAAAAATGGGCAAAAGATATGAACTGACATTTCTACAAAGAAGACATACCAATGGCAAACAGGTATATGAAAACATGCTCAACCTTATTGATCATCAGAGAAATGCAAATCAAAACTACAGTGAGCTATCACCTTACCCCAGTTATAATAAAATGGCTTTTATCCAAAACACAGGCAATAAAAAATGCTGGTGAGAATGTGGAGAAAAAGGAACCCTTGTACACTGTTGGTGGGAATGTAAATTAGTACAACCACTATGAAGAACAGTTTGGTAGTTCCTCAAAAAAACAAAAATAGAACTATCATACAATCCAGCAATTCCACTGCTAAGCATATACCCCCAAAAATGGAAATCAGTATATTAAAGAAATATCTGCACTCTCATGTTTATTGCAGCACAATAGCCAAAAGTTAGGATCAACCTAAGTGTCCATCGACAGATGAATGAATAAAGAAAATGTAGTACATATACACAATGGAGTACTATTTAGCCGTAAAAAACAATGAGGTCCTGTCATTTGCAACATCAGGGATGGAACTGGAGGTCATTATGTTAAGTGAAATAAGCCAGGCACGGAAAGAAAAACTTCACGTGTTCTCACTTACTTGTGGGAGCTAAAAACTTAAAACAATTGAACTCATGGAGATAGAAGGATGGTTACCAGACACTGGGAAGGGTAGTGTGTTTGGGGAGTGGGGATGATTAATGGGTACAAAAATACAGTGGATAAATAAGATTTATTATTTGATAGCACAACAGGGTGACTATAGTCAACAATAATGTATTGTACATTTAAAAACTAGAATGGCCAGGCGTGGTGGTTCACGCCTGTAATCCCAACACTTTGGGAGGCCGAGGTGGCAGGATCACTTGAGGTCAGGAGTTCAAGACCAGCCTGGCCAACATGGTGAAACCCCGTCTCTACTTAAAAAAAAAAAAAAAAAAAAAAAAAGACAAAAATTAGCCAGGCGTGATGGTAGGCACCTGCAATCCCAGCTACTCAGGAAGCTGAGGCAGGAGAATTGCTTCCACCTGGGAGGTGGAGGATGCAGTGAGCCAAGATCGTGCCACTACACTCCAGCCTGGGCAACAGAGTAAGAGACTGTCTCAAAAAATAAAAATAACTAGAAATATATAATTGAATTGTTTATAACACAAGGGAAGTATAAATGTTTGAGATGATGGATACCCCTTTTACCCTGATGTGTTTAATACACATTGTATGCCTATATCAAAATATCTCATATACCCCATAAATACATACACCTATTATGTTACCACAAAAATTTGAAATTTAAAAAAATATCATTTGGAATCAAAACAACCCTCTCTGGGAGGAGGAGGAAGAGTTATTCCCATTTAGCAGAAAAGGACACTAAGGATCAAAGTGATAAATTGACTTGCTCTAAGTCACCCAGTTAGCACCCAGCTAGGAAATACTATTAACAGTGACTATGTCTTGGAGATGGAATTATGAATGATTATTTTTCTGCTTTTTTATCATTCTATAAACAAATAGAAATAAGAACATTTTTGAAAGACTAAAGTGATATAAATTTCATTTCCCATATGTCATGTTATCCTGCAAGTCCCACCTACCTAATCAACAATGTTCATCATTTCAGGTGGAAAGAGAAGTGTTGCTCAGTTTACATGTTCAAACCAGAATTCTAGCCCGCAGAAACAGAAAAGACGTGAAAGCTAACTTGGTTTGTTTTTTAAGGAGAATAACGGGGATTTCTAATATCCCTTCATATATTGTAGATCATAAATCAAGAGAGTCAAGTCTGGCCAACTTGATCAGAATCTTACAAAAAGCCACGGAGTAGACAACAAAAAAGATATGGCATTCCCGCTACCTAGAGAGGAAAGGTGGAAAGCCCTTTGGGCACTGGGAAAACAAGCCCAGAGAGGAGAAAGAAAAAGAGAGAGGGAGAGAGCACATGCAGTCATCAAGGACGTCCTCAATTCTACCCCCCCACATCCCAAACTTAGGGAAAGTGCAATAAAAATACCCCAGATAGTTTGAGGCTATGCCAAAAGCAAAGAGGGGACTTGAATTTCACTTTCCACTTGGAATTTTGATAACTGAATAACTTGCAGGATATATAATTCCATTAGTCAATTGGAAAGGACGGCAGAGTTGAACAATACAAAGGGATAGGGGAGGGGTATGGAAAAGGAGAGCTGCTGAGTCACATTAGGTCATCAGCATCAGTAGGAGCCCAGTGGGGGCTCAGTCATCAGGAAGACATGACGGAGAACTTTCCCAAGTTCTCCATGGAAGAGCAACCATCTTTCATTTCCCTTGACTGGAAAACAGGCCACAAGCTACACAACCCATAAAAGCATCAGTGGTAGATGCAGAAAGAATAGCATCAGACACTCAAAGGTGAGGTAGCATGAGTTGCACATCAGCCAGGGGTCAGTGGGAAGCAGCAGAGGAACAGTCCTCTTGGGATGGAACTCCTACTACCACGAGGTGATGCAAGCTTCTTTCTCTGCCCAGAGACCAATCAGGGAAAGAGAAGAAGGAAGGGAGTGTGATCACAGGGGTATGGCAGGGAGAGGAATCCTCTAAGACTTTCCATTCTACCAACAAAAGAAATGTGGGAGTCATCTGAAAGATACCCGCTTAAACTGTAATAGACTATTGCCTGGGATGGGAACTTTTGCTTTTTCCCCTACCCATCAACAACAGGAACAATATTAAGCCAGACACAGAAAAGTTAGAAAGCTATATATCTGAGTTTTGGTTGATCAATTTTAACTCTATGTGTTTTTCCTAAGAACAGCGACCATGTGTTTAGTACTAAGATGTGCCAGGCACTGGGCTTAAGGCCTTGCATTTATACAACAATCTCCTAAGGCAGGTGCTATCATTATCCTTGGATAAAAGAGCAAACTGTGCTTTAGAAAACTTACGTAAATTTGATCAAGATTAGACAGCAAATAAGTGACAGAGCTAAGATTTGAACACAACGCCAGAATCCTCTCACTCTAACCACTATGTAATACTACCTATATGTTATTATTATACTTATTTTTCAGATGCTTAAAGAGTCCAAATGAGTAGCCCAACCAGCGAGTGGCAGAGCTGGGGTTTAAACCAAAGCAGTCTGGCTCAAATATGTCAGCTGCTATTTCTTAAACAATTTAAGTATTTTAACAAATCTATATATTGAAATTGTAAAATCTTACTGTTGCTTTCAAAACTTATGTTTATAAGGAATATACAGACTATAGATTAGGGTAGTAGTAAATGAAAAATGAAAAGCAAAGAGAATATAAAGTAAGTTTGGCAAGGTTTCCTAAGTAGAAACTTTGTGAATGACAAACGCTAGGAAGTGAAGGAGGAGTAGAATTATTAGTAGCTGGATGCTGGGAGCAGTGGGAGGAACCTAACTGTTGTAATCCAATGATGAGAAATTACAACTAACAATTGGCTGAAAAAAAACTCTGTGGATTGATTGTACATTCGCAGATCTCTCAAGGCAACCACACCTCCTATGGGAACAAAGCTTCTTATGAAATGACACACATACAGAGTAGAGAAGTGTTGGAGAAAGTCTTAGTGCACTCAGATTCAAAATACAGTGGTGGAAGGCATGGGATTGACAGATTAGACAAATGTGATAGTAGTTGATGGCATTATGGGGCTAAGGTGGCCATACAAGACCTTAGTAGTTGCAGCTGTATTAACTAAGGCACCTTGCAGCTGCTTTCAAACAGGGATGAATAACTGAAGAAACATAATTGACTGTTATGCAGGGAGGAAGGGAGAAAGAGGATATGTAAATGTTGAAAATATAGTTAAAACTAATGAAAAATATGCTCTAAATCCCAAATAAAAAATCATGTTAGCATTGCTTTGTCTGTAAAGAGGAAATTGCCTAGGAATTTTTTCTGAAATTCTTTCATGAGTACTCAGGGTAACACTGAGACTGAACAGATAGTTCTAGTTGCTTAACTCAGTTTGTTAAACTGCAGTTTTGACAAGGCCAGTGTCTTGAATGTGGATCCCAGGTCAGCCAACTGCCTTGTTTTGGAGCTAACAGCTGCATTCCTAACCTCAGCCTCAATGCTGAGGAGCCTATACACTGCTGTGTTTTGTATTTGGATTTACAATAAGCTGTGAACTACTTAAGAGCAGGAAATATATTTTTTTCATCTCTGTATCCTCTCAACCTTGCATAGCTACTGACACGGTACAGGCACTCAATAAATGTGTGCGTGCCAGCCACCACTTGCCCAGGAGCACAAAATGAGAGAGGCTTTAATCCATCTTTCATTCTTCAGTTGAAAGGTGGATTAAAGCCTCTCTCAATTTGTGTATGGCTATTCTTAATGGTACCTGTGCTATGTTCCTTCAATGCCGAGGTAGGAGGAAAAGATGGTTGAATCTTTCGCTACAGTTACTTGCAAGTGTATAGGAAGGGTGGTGTATAAACATAGTGGTGTTGAATATTGCTTATGAGGGGTATTTGTTTTACTGAAGAGTGGAAAGGTGAATGAAAAGTACACAACTGAGATGAAGTCCTCAGTTCCCTTTAGAAGGGAGATAGATTTCAAAAATTTGCCAACAGACAGAATTAAATGCCATCAATGAGCATTTGAAAAGGAAACTGAATTACTACATGGGAGATTTCTACACTGCACCAGTAGATTTACTACTTCCCAAAGGTTTTTAAATTACATGTCTTCTAACTTAACTTTAAAATTCAAGTTTAATTTTATGAATTTCCTTAAATATGATCTGTGTTGTTGTTCTTACCAGGTGTCATTCACCTTTTAGATTTGTATTTCTTATTTTTAAAATTTCACTTCCTTTTTCACACACACACACAAAATTAAAAGTATCTGCCCTCTTCACATGTTCTAAGGAAAGCGCTATTGTTGCCATTTTAATTTATCTGAGATAGTGTACTGCTCTTTTTAGGCAACAATGCTCTAAATTAAATTATCGTATGTGTTTTAAAACCTTACCAAAATCTGAGATGAGTTCCTTCTCTGTGCTAGGCTTACTTTGAAACCTGTTAAGAAACGAGATAGAAATTTCAGGACAGCAAGACACAAAAGACCAATCAAAGCTCTCTGATCATTCTCCTCAGGCAACACTAAGTATTATTCAAATATTACATCACAGTTTTAAGCCTTCTGTCAAAAGTGGGAAACCTTCACCCCACTGCCCCACACTAAGCTAGGAACTGACCTGGTCCTGAGGGTTAAACACCCAAGTTTTGTGGACACAACAGCACAAGGGTTCTGCCTCCTTTTATTTATCCCCTGGGATAGAAATGACGGGACCTCGACAAATCCAATCATAACTCTGGTATCTTGTTTGAGGCAGGTCCCTCTCCATCCCCTAGTTGAAACATTAAAACAGCAAGCAAGTATAATCTCTAGAGATTTCTCAAAGGAATCTAGCAAATACTGCCTTCCCTTGTTGTAATATAATTTATTTTCCTGAAAAGGAGCATACTGTTCTGAAGTAACTTAAAATTAAAAAGTCACAAATTAATTATCCTATTTTTTGTTACGGTAATTGCAGAAGGATAGGAATAGTGGGCTTCAGGCCCATAAAGGTATTTAATAAGGGTCTCCCACAACAATACAGTGAATACTTTAACCAACGGTCGCTGTATTAATTAGGATACTTTCAGTTGCTAATGACAAAAGCTTAAGTCAATTAGCTTAGGTAAGAAAGGTCATTATCACGTAACTGGTAAATAAGGGATTCAACATAACAGCTAGAATCACCTCTCACACAGTGTCATCAGAGCTCATTGCTCTCCATTTTTCAACTTTGCTTCTGGTTGTGCACCAGCTTCCTTCTTCAGAAAAGCTCTCACATGCAGCAGGAAAGGTGGCTGCTCATGGACCAGATTAACGTCTTTTTAGCTTAGCAAACACAATAGGAAAGAAAGAATTTTCTCCCCAACATTCATTTATCTATCCTAGAAAGAAATCTGTATGGGCCATGTGGCCACCCCTGAGCCAATCACTTGGCCAAGGGATTATAGTTTTCCTTCCATCTTCCTAGCTGTTCCTTTTTAGTATCTACTGCTGGCTCTTCTTCCTCTTCCTTGACCAAAACAGTCTGACATTGCTCTGGCTTCCTTCTGGGTCTTCTTTCCTTCTCCATCTAGAGGCTTTCTTTGGGCAGTGGTATGGTTTGGATGTGTGTCCCCCTCCAAATTTCATGTTGAAATGTGATCCCCAGTGTTGGAGATGAGGCCTAGTGGGAAATGTTTGGGTCATGGGGTTGGACTCCTCACAAATGGCTTGGTGTGCTCCCCACAGTAATGAGTGAGTTATCTATTAGTTCACAGGACAGCTGGTTATTTTAAAAAGCCTGATGTCTCTCTTGCTCCTTCTCTCTCCATGTGACACATCTGCTCCCTCTTCACCTTCCACCATGATTATAAGCTTCCTGACCCCCTCGTCAGAAGCGGATGTCCTCCTATGCTTCTTGTACAGCCTGCAGAACTGTGAGCCAAATAAACCTCTTTTCTTTATAAATTACTCAGGCTTGGGTATTCCTTTATAGCTATGCAAAATGAACTAACACCGTGGGGTCTCATCCATTGCCCTCCAATTGCCATCTCTCAGCTGTCCACTCTCAAATCTACATGCAAACTCCAGCCCTGTCTCCTAAGCTTCAAACTGCTGGATCTAACTGCCTACTAAACATCTCTGCATGGCTGACTCGGTGTCCAAAATATTAACTCCTCCTTCCTATACCTCAATTCCAACTGCTGTTCCTCCCAGTGTTCACCATCTCAGGAAATGACATCACCACCCAGCCCATTACTCAAGTCTGAAACCTGGGAGTCATCCTTGATTCCTTCTTCTCCCTCAGCAACTCCTTTCACATTTAAACAATCACAAGATCCTATTCCACTCCTAAATATTTCTCAAATGCTTAGTGACATAGATGTCCCTTCTCTATATGCCCACTAGTCCAAGCTACCCTTATTCTTTGCCTAACTACTACAGTAGCTCCCTAAATCCCTTACAACCATTCTTGCCCCATCCTTCCATCAATCGAATCAAATCCAATTATACCAATCTCTGGCTTTAAAACGTTCAAAGGCTTTATAGCCCAGAGTGTCCAAAGGAAAGTATTGGGACTAATTGCATCAGAACAAGAGGAGCTTGTTAAAGTATGGGCTCTTGAGCTGCACCAAACCGAAAGAATCAAAAGCTCTAGGAACGGGCTCAAGGCACTGAATTTTTAATCCTAAATCTTTATTAAGGTTTGCAGGCCCTCCATAACTTGACCTCTTGCAGTTCCAGGTTAGGACATTTCACAATATTATCCTATAGATGGCACTTTGTGCTTTTCCATGAGTCACACTCATGGCACTGGCTCCTGCTGGTAATACCACTGGTTAAATGTCTCATTCCCTGCCGGAACATAAACTCCAAAGGGAACAGAAGCATGCCTGTCTTTTTTACCATTTGTCCCTGGCGCCCAGGACAATAGGCACAACATCTGACATTTAATATTCATTGGCATTGCCAGAATAAAAGAGAACTGAATTTGAAGGGCTTTCTCCAAAGCAGGGTTGGTTAAACTTACCTAAAAATGCCTTCCTTTGTTGAGATAGTGAATAAACCAAGAAAGGGCTTGGATAACAATAATTGGAGTAAGTTAATTAGTGGCCTGAAGGAGAAAGTTTACTTTTCAAAGTTAAATTATATTTGGAGACTCTTCTCTAGTCTCCAGTGAGATCAAATGAACAGAAATATACTTTGGACCACATTCAAGGAATTTCAGATTATAAGTACTGTAAGGGTAAACCCAAATCCAAAAAAATAAAAATATAAAAATCCTGGTGTAAAAAGGGAAAGGGAAAGACACCTCCTCTCCCTTATCCTGGAGCATTTCCTTTAGAAAATTTGCAATTGTAAATTCTTTGAGATGTCTGTAAATCTTTTCAAAAGCTAAACAAACCTTCTTGCCAGCTTTACAACCAAGGAATGTCTTTCTCAAGGACCTGGAAGCCATCTCTTTGAAATGTAAACATCAAGGAAGAGAGTGCCCCTATCTCCCAGACTCCATGAGAGTTAATTTAAGTATCTGGCTCCAAATTGTAACTACCTCCCCGTCACAGAGATATGAGAAGTACTATTATTCCTTTGGGTAAAAGCAATTACCAAACACAAATGTCCACCCTCATTACCTGGTGAATCTAGGATGAAATATGTGTGTGTGACAAATGGTGTTACTACAACCTCTTTCGTACTTGGGGTGGGGGAGGGGGCAGTGTCAAACAATGGCCAGCAGATATAGCAGGAACTCTAGTCCATAGATATTTAGGTATGTTAAAAGTTTCCATGCAACACTGAGGGATGTGAAACTGTTTTACTAGGTACCACTCTTTGTTAAGATCACTCCGATCACCAAAGGCAAAGCAATACTTTACTTATCAAGAACTTCGTCCTTTTTAGCCAAACCAACTTACCATGCTCTAAGAAAAAGAAAGGGATTCTTTTTCTTTTATACATAAGCAGATAACAATACTTGAATTGTTCAAGTATTGAATTCAATACTTGAATTGGGTTACCCAATATTTTCATGTTCTAGAATTTTATATAAGTAGAATCATAGAGTATTTACTCCTGGTCTGGGTTCATTCACTCAGCATAGTATTTGAAGTTTCACCCATATTGCTGCACATGTCAGTAGCCATTCGTTTTTCTTGCAATATCTTTAGTATACTATTCATACACTTTTCCTCCCACAGAACTCCAAAATTTCAGGTTTACTATTGAGTATTCTTTCCTTTTTTTGTGGAGGGTGTTGTCTTTGTACCCCCACCATTTTATTAAGGTATACCTGCCAAATTTAAATTATGCATATTTACAGTGTACATGTAATGTTTTGATATATGTATACATTGTGAAATGATTAAATTAAGCTATTTAATATATCCATCGCCTCACATACTTATTGTTTTGTAGTGAGGGCATTAAATATCTAATATCTTAACAATTTACAAGTATACAAAACATTATTAACTATAGTCACCATCTCTACAATAGGTCTCCAGAGCTTTCTCATCTTGTCTAACTGAAATTTGTACCCTTTCACCAGCATCTCCCCATTCGTTTTGCTCCAAGTCCTTGACAACCACCATTCTACTCTCTGCTTCTATTAGTTTGACTTTTTGGATTCCACATATAAGTCCATTCCTTTTCATTGCTAAACAGCACTCCATTGTATAAATATGCCACAATATATTTATCTAATCACCTGTGGAAGGACATTTTGGTCATTTCTAGTTTAGGGCTATCACAAATAAAGCTATCATAAACACTCATGTGCAAGTCTTTGTCCTAGAAGTGGAATGATAGAGTCATATGGTAGATGTACATTTAATTTAATAATATAACTTAATAGCTTTAGGGGGCTTCTTTTGGTTATAAGCAATTACCTCTTCCACAACCAGCTCGTCCTCCCTTCAATACCCACTACCTCCACACACACTATTGATATGGTTTAGCTTTGTGTCCCCACCCAAATCTCATCTCAAATTGTAATCTCCAGGTGTTGGGCAAGGAACCTGGTGGGAGGTGATTGGATCATGGGGCAGTTTCCTCCATGCTGTTCTCATGACAGTGAGTTCTCAAGAGATCTGATGGTTTTATAAGGGGCTCTTCCCCTTTTGCTTTCACTCTCTCTCTCTCTTGCCACCTTGTGAAGAAGGTGCTTGCTTCCCCTTCACCTTCCACCATGACTGTAAGTTTCCTGAGGCTTAACCCAGCCATGAGGAACTGTGAGTTAATTAAACAAACCTCTTTCCTTTATAAGTTACCCAGTCTCAGGTATTCTTTATAGCAGTGTGAAAATGGACAAATACAACTATTATGCTTTGTTTCAATTTAAATACATAAGAGTCTTAATTTTATAACTGGAAGAAGAGGATATATTTGTGGAGAGAGGAACAAAGGTAGAAAGAAGAAGAAATGTTGCAATGGGTCTCCTGAAGAGCTAATTTGTACATGTTTATGTATAATTAATTTGTAGCATTATAGAGAGATATGTATACAACTTCAAGTCAGGTTTTACCTAAATGTGACTTTAAGTAAAGTCTTTACACATAAGAAGACTTTATTTTTTATCAATATTTTACTTTAAAGCTATTACTACAGGTGGTCCTCACTGTGCACAGGTTCTGTACACCATTCTAATATGCAGAAATTTCAGTTACCATAGTTTAATTAACACCAATCCCTCAACAACATGGTTCAAATTTCAGTCACCATGTGAATTATATGTGAGTAACTGCATACAATATAAAGTTCACTGCTAGCTTTTCAGTCCACAAATCACCATGTAAGTAACAGATGGGCATCACGATCAGTGACCAGTCACATCATTTCTTCCCAAGTCTGTTGGTGATTGGCTACTGTGTGTGTGTGTTATTCAGTTCAGGCAGAGATGGCCAAGTGTGTAGTTGTGTTACCTCCTTCTCTCCCGGTAATAAATCCAAGTGACATTTTACAAAACTGGATAATTGAAAGTGGGAATTGACCAAAAGGATGAAAGTGCAGCAAGGAAACAAAAAGCGATGTCACTGGAAATGACATTCAAATTGAACATAAATGGGGTTACAGAAGAGAGAGCTAACCATGGAAATGTTGACACTGCCACTGTTGGAAAGACTCTAGATATGCAGCCTGAGGGACATCATGAAGGCAAACTTAAGGACATAAATGAGCGAAGTGGTTGTGGCAAAAAGGATGAAGATGCCCTAGAGGAACTGATGCCAGCAAAAAGTCCACATTAAGGCCAGGTGTGATGGCTCATGCCTGTAATCCCAGCACTTTGGGAGGCCGAGGTGATCAAGAGGTCAGGAGTTCGAGACCAGCCTGGCCAACATGGCGAAACCCCATCTCTACTAAAAATACAAAAATTAGGTGGGCATGGTGACACACACCTGTGATCCCAGCTACTGGAGAGGCTGAGGCAGGAGAATCACTTGAACCCGGGAGGCGGAGCTTGTAGTGAGTGGAGATCGCACTACTGCACTCTAGCCTGGGCGACAGAGCGAGACTCCATCTCAAAAAAAAAAAAAAAAAAAAAAAAAAAAAAAAAAACAGTTCACATTAAATGTATTCTCAGAGACATTTCACAACATTGAAAGATGAAAGGATAAAATGTTGGAAACTGACCCAAACGTAGAAATGATGCTTCCTTCATACAGTAAGCTGTATGATGAGAAGGCAAGTGATGTTCACATTTCTCCTAAGTTTTTTAGAATAAAATGCAATATTTTAATTTTTAATGTTCCTAATGTCATAAATTACAGTGTACTATAAATATTAGTTTTACTATTTTTTCACTTCCAAATACATGAATAATCACCAGTTATAGAGTTTTGAACGTTTTGACAAAAATTTTTAAAGGTCACACGACAATCATAATCCTTCCCATTGATTTTGAAGATTGCTTTGCATAGTTTTCGCTTGCATGGTCCTTGCTATCATGCAAAGCAAGGACTGCCTCAATTCTTTATTCCTCATTAAACAAAATACAAGTACCTGAAACGGTGTCTGTCACACAGTAAGTACTCAATATATGTCACCTATCGTTTCAAAGATATTACATACCGTTTTTCACCTTTATTGCAAAGCTTCTTTTTTTAATATCTATACTTGCTGCTCCTATTTTGCTCCTTCCATTGTCTCTTGAAATCATTTCAATCAGGCTTTGTCCGCATCCCTCCACCAGAACTGCTCTCATCAAAGTCATCAATCACTGCTGAATGGCTAAATCCAATGATAACTGTAAGTCTTACTTGATACACTTGACAATAGCATTTAATGCAATTAATCAAGAAAGACTGACTTCTAAACACCACCCTCCCCTGGTTTCCTCCTACCTTATAGGCTAATCCTACAGGATCAGGTTTCCTATAGGATCCTATGGGAAAAGGTTCCATTTGCTTGCTAGTCACTACTCTCTCTGACACCTAAATGCCTGACATCTAAATGTCAGAGTGCCCTGGGGCTCAACCTTTGGATCTCCTCTCTAACTGCAATTACTCCCTTGTTGACCTCATCCATTCTCATGATGTCAAATGCCATTCATATACGGATGGACCCAAATCTTTACCTCCAGGTCTGACCTTTCTCCTGAAATCCAAACTTGTAGCTTCAACTATCTATTCTATATCTCTCCTTATGGCGGCTACTAGACAACTGAAACTTAACTGTGCAAAAGCAAATTGATGTTCCTTCCCAGACCTCTTCATCTTTATTTTTCTCTACTTCATAAAGGATACTTTAATTTACTGGAAACCTTGAATATATCTTTAACTCTCTCTTTCTCGCCCCCATCCTTCCTGCCCTCCACCCCACCCCAGCCTTCTCTTCCATCCCAACACTCTCAAACACACATTTAAGTCATCAGCATATTCTGTCAACCTCTGAGCTATTCCCGTTTTAGAGGTAAAGAAACCGAGCCATGAAAAAGTTACTTACTGGTTCAAGGTCACAGAATTAATCTGCAGCAGGACTGAAATTGAAAACCAGGTAGGCTTGCTTTAGAGTTTTTAAATGGCAATTTCCTCAATTCTAGTCCTCAAGGATTCCAAAATATTGAGGTCTAATTTCAAGAATGCTTTTGATAAAGACAAAACTAAACAATTTCTAACATTTCTTCCAATGAAACAATTCAGTAAGTAAATGTATACCTAATACAAAACATAGCTTTGTAAACCAAAACATAGTCTGTAATGAAGTTTATCAGTTTTATAACCTCTGTGTTTGTATATATTATTCTTGAAAATTGAGATATTTTTCTGTTTCTTGTTTTTTATAAACTCACAGTGTATCACAACGTTTTATCCATTATAAAGGAATGCCCTAGCGAAAAGTAAATTCCAATTTTTTGGAAATCTTGAGAACTAGAAGTAAGGAAATTTGTTATTTAGAAACTACATGTAGTTTTTATTCTTCTCTAGAAATAGATGATTGAAATCACCTTAACACACTGATTATTGTGGCAAAAACACTCTTTCATGTTGCAAAGATGAAGCAAAGAACTTATTCTCAAAAAGGAAATGTTGAGAAAATCAAAAGCAATTTTCTCAGCAAGGAGGCAAGAAAACTGGATAAGCTTGATCTAATCTAATCTGATTTAATCACTATCCCAAGACTGACTTGGGGAAAGCGGTATTTGGGGAGACCCTCAGAAAAATCCTGACAACCTTCATCATCTAATATTTCTTTTCTCAGAGAAAGAGATTAAATAAGCAGATTACAATTGTTGTCTGTTATTATTCAGTTATAGTAATGCCTATGTGTCTCTTTTCCAGATGTTCAACACTGAAGGATAAAAAAAATTGCACTTGAAAATCACTTGCTCAAAAACCTCTTTGAACACTGTACTGGCATTTTTATTAGAAACACATTTAAAACAAAACAACCCCCCCACCTTCATTTCCCAAACAAGGAAAGCCGGTTATGATAGGATGACATCATGAACCCATATGTTTGCCATGAGAAGACAAGAAAAGTCTTCACTTGCTTCATTTGAAACAGTTGCCTGCCATTACGTAGAACATTCATGATGGGGATTAGTGCTTTTATAAAAGAGACCACAGAGAGCTAGTTCTTCCTTCCACTATGTGAGGACCAGCAAGAAGTGGGCCCCTGCCAGACACCAAGTCTGACAGCACCTTGATCTTGGACTTCCCAGCCTCTAGAACTGTGAGAAATAAATCTCTGTTGTTTATAACCCACCCAGTCTATGCTATTTTGTTATAGCAGCCTGCACAGACTAAGACATAGTCTCATCATTCTTTAGAACAAGCTTGTCCAATCCACAGCCCGTGGGCCACATGTGACCCAGGATGGCTTTGAATGGGACCCAACACAAATTTGTAAACTTTCTTAAAACATTATAAGATTTTTTTGTGATTTTTTTTTTAGCTCCTCAGCTATCATTAGTGTTAGTGTATTTTATGTGTGGCCCAAGACAATTCTTCTTTGAAAGTGGCCCAGAGAAGCCAAAAGATTAAACACCCCTGCTTTAGGACAATTAAAACAGTGGGAGAGGGCTAGACCAAGCCAACAAATACAACTCTGCAGTTTGTGCTCGGTATGTGTTTCATGTATCCTGTCTTCCAAGCCTAATGTGAGGTTGCTTCAGCCCAGAGGAACGTGTGCCTCCTTGCAATTTGCACACAGACTCTGTATATGCTAGAGGTAGCCATGGGGCTAGAGGCCAAATGTTGTTTAGCATCACCTTTTATTGGGAATCAAACTTATTAAACTCTTTGATTTATCTTGGTGCCCTGAATTCTCTAAATACTAGGGGATTAAAGGGATCAAAGTAATGCTAAGACCAGAAAGTGGGAGTTACCCCTAATTTTGGCAAACCTGTAAGATAAAGTATACACTGCTTCTGACATTTTAGGGGGGTTGGTTGCTTGTTTTTGCTTTTATTCTATTTTTTATTCTATTCAGTCCCTAGGAAACATTACATTTCCTCAAAGGCATCATGCCCCAGTAATTTAGCTAAGATTTTGTACAGGCTGATTACCATATATGTCATTTACCAAGGCTAGCATTAATTACTGACAAGACGTTTGGAGGAGATAACCCAAGGCTCAATACCAACCAATAGGAAATGACCATTGGCAGCAGCTGTTCTGCTGCCTTGATTAAACGGGTTTTCTTGACTATATTAGAATGAGATGAGGACATGGAGGTTTTCTATGCTTCTTGTTGTTTACACTTAATTATTAATTTCCAGTTTTATTATGTTATGTGGCTCAAATCAAGAGTTTATATATGGCTAATAAGGTCAATTTTTATAAATGCTCCATAAATCTTTCAAGAATCCTTAGCCTTAAAATGAGGGTATATTATTAATTCTGTTATTTATACACTTATATGTGTTTTTGCATACTTGATCTGTAAAAAACTACTATTGTTTTTCAACAAATGGTGCTGGAAGAACTAAATACCCATATGCAAAAAGTGAACTTCAATTCATACCTCACACCATATACAAAAATTAACTCAAAATAGATTATAGACCTAGAGTAAAACCTCAATCTGTAAAACTTGTAGAGCAATAAAAGGACGAAATTTTTATGCCTTTGGCTGGGCAATGATTTCTTGGATATGACACCAAAAGCCTGATCTATTAAAGACAAAAATGATAAATTGGACTTCATGAAAATTAAGACATTCTCTTAGATAGGCACTGTTAAGAGAATGAAAATACAACCCAGGCTGGGAGAAAAGATTTGCTAATCACAAATCTTAGAGAGGACTAGAATCCAGAATATAAAAACTTCCAAAATTCAGTAAGAAAACAAACAACCTGTCATGGTTAATTTTTGAGTGTTAACTTGGCTAGGCCATTGTACTCGGTTTTTGGTCAAACAGTAGTCTAGATGTTGCTGTAAAGGTATTTTTTAGATGTAAATAACATTTAAATCAGTAGACTCTGAGTAAAGCAGATGACTCTCCATAACGTAGATAGACCTCCTCCAATCAGGTGTTGGTCTCAAGAGGAAACAGTGAGGTTGCCCAAAGAAAAAGAAATTATACCTCCAGCCTTTGGACTTGAGACTGCATCATCTCTTCCCAAGGACTCCAGTGGCCAGTGTGCCCTACAGATTTTGGACTTGCCAGCCCCCACAATAATGTGAGCCAATTCCTTAAACAAGTACCTCTCTGTATACACACACACACACACACACACACACACACACACACACACACGTCAATTCTTTTTCTCTGGAGAACCCTATTATACACCCAATTTTTTAAATGAGCAAAAGATCTGGACAGACATATCACCAAAGAAGACATACAGATAACAAATAAATACATGAAAAGATACTCAACATCATCAGTCATTTGCATTAGGGAAATGCAAATTAAAACTACAATGAGACACCACTATACACCTATTTAAATGTCTAAAATCCTAATGAGTAAGCATATTAAATGTTGGCAAGGATATGGAGTAACTGGAATTCTCTCACATAGTTGGTGAGAATATAAAATGGAACAATAACTTTAGTAAACAGTTTAGCAGTTTCCTGAAATGTTAAACTCATACTCACCATATAACCCAGCCATTCCATTCGTAGGTATTCTTCCAAGAGAAAAAAAAACATATGTCCATACAAAGACTTGTTCATGAATGTTCACAGCATCTTTATTTATAATAGCCAAAAATAGAAACAACCCACATGTCCATCAAAAGGTAAATCAATATACAAATTGTGGTATATCCATACAATGAAATGTTCCTTAGCAATAAAAAGGAATGAACTGTTGATACTTGCAAAAACATGGATATCACAAAATAAATGTGCTGAGTGGAAGAATACATACAAAACAAGAGTATATGCTGCATAATTTCACTTATATAAAACTCTAGAAGATGCAAACTCATCTATAAAGACAGAAAGAAGATTACTGGTTGACAGAATTGGAAAAGGGCATGAAGTGTGTGGAAGGAGGGATTATAAACAGGCACGAGGAAACTTTTGGAATGGTGGAAATGTTCATTACGTTAACTGTGGCATTATTTCACAGGCACAGACATATATTGAGGTGGGCGAATCACGAGGTCAGGAGTTCGAGACCAGCCTGGCCAACATGGTGAAATCCCGTCTCTACTAAAAATACAAAACATTAGCTGGGTGTGGTGGGGGGGGTGCATGTAATCCCAGCTACTCAGGAGGCTGAGGCAAGAGAATTGCTTGAACCCGGGAGGCGGAGGTTGCAGTGATCCGAGATTGCACCACTGCACTCTAGCCCAGGCGAGAGTGCGAGACTCCGTCTCAAAAAAAAAGTATGAAATTTTATACTTCAAATTTGTGCAGTTTATTGTATGTTGATTATACTTCAATAAAGCTATTCTTAAAAAGCTAGCACTGTGGCAAGGCGCGGTGGCTCACACCTGTAATCCTAGCACTTTGGGAGGCTGAGGCAGGCGGATCGCAAGGTCAAGAGATCGAGACCATCCTGGCTAACACGGTGAAACCCCGTCTCTACTAAAAATACACAAAAAATTAGCTGGGCATGGTGGCAGGCGCCTGTAGTCCCAGCTACTCGGGAGGCTGAGGCAGGAGAATGACATGAACCCAGGAGGCGGAGCTTGCAGTGAGTCATCGCACCACAGCACTCCAGCCTGGGTGACAGAGCAAGACTCCAGCTCAAAAAAAAAAAAAAAAAAAAAAAGCTAGCACTGTATTTAAATTACTCCTTACATTGTAACAGATTTTGTTTTATATATTTCAGGGTTATACTATTTAGTATCCAAAGTTTTATAACTATTTTCATTGTGAATTTTGCCTTTTTGTTAAAAAAATTACCCTGTCTGTAAATCATTTCACCTTAAATTTTATTTAGGCTAGTAGTAATGTAACCACTCTTCTCTAGAATGTTTGCATTTTTCGAACATGCATATTTCCCTTTGGCCTGGAGTCTCCATCAGATATATGAACTGGGCAAGTTACTTATCTGCCTCCATTTCCTTACCTGAAAAATGAGCAGCTTTCACAGGGTTGCTATGAAGATTAAATAAGTTAATATTTATTAAATATTTGAAGCAGGGCTTTGTCATCTTGGCACTGTATTTGGGGACTGATAATCTGTTGTGGGGACTAACCTGTGCATTTTAGAATGTTCAGTAGAATCCTTGGTCTCTAATGTACTAGATGCCAGTAGCAGTCTCCTCCCAGTTGTGCCAACAAAAATATCTCCAGACACTTCCAAATGTCCCCTGGGGGGCAAAACCACCTCCAGTTAAGAACCAATAATTTAAAACAATCCCTGGGAGGTAATAAAGGCTACCTAAGCATTTGTTAAATAAGTGTTCTGTGGCAATTATTATGTGACCCCTTCTCGTTTCTGGGCCACTAGCCACTGCACCATGCAAAAGCCCAGTGGTATGTCAGAAGCCCCATTGCCACAGACTACTACTTGATGTGGCCATACTTACCCTGGGGTCTCCCAGCCCACTGCTTCAGATGCTGTTGATTCATAGCACAGAGTGCTCACTTTCTGTCCCAAGCCCACCCCACCTCTAGCTCTCATCCCTCTAAATCAAATGTGTCCAACCTGTGGCCCAGAATGGTGTTGAATGCAGCCCAATACAAATTCATAAACTTTCTTAAAATATAATGAGACTTTTTGCAATTTTTTTTTTTTTTTTTTAGCTCATCAGCTAACATTAGTATTAGTGTATTTTATGTGTGGCCCAAGACAATTCTTCTTCCAATGTGGCCCAGGAAAGCCAAAAGATTGGACACCCTTGCTCTAAATGAAGGGGTATCATCAGGCTCTCCCATAATTTCTTCTACTTATTTCTTAGGGATCTGTTTTTTTGTTTTTTTGTTTCGTTTTGTTTTTTGAGATAGGGTGTCTCTCTCTCACCCAGGCTGGAATGCAGTGACACAATCTCGGCTCACTGCAACCTCTGCCTCCCAAGTTCAAGTGATCCTCCAACCTCAGCCTCCCAAGTAGTTGGGACTACGGTTGCACACCACCACACCCGGCAAAATTTTTTTATTTTTTGTAGAGATGGGGTTTCACCATGTTTCCCAGGCTGGCCTCCACCTCCTGGACTCAAGCCATCTGCCTACCTCCGCCTCCCAAAGGGCTGGGATTACAGGCATGAGCCACTGCACCCGCCGATAGTTTTGAAAAAGCGACATTGCAGGCCAGTTCTAATGTCCCCTCTCAGTGTAACTCCTCCTGGTGACAGTAAGTAGACGGTCCCTAGTACTGAGGCATACAGATAGCCTTCTTCCCTATTTCCAGGGCTCATTTAGGGCTGGTCCTATTTGGGGATCATCTTAAGTAGTTTGGGGAATGTGTGGAAGTCTGTGGAGGCTTACATATTTCCTAGGCCTCTATCCTTGATATTTTTAGGACTAGATCTCCTTAAAAACGGACCTTTTCTTCCCAAAAAGTAAAGATTTGGCTTTTTTCAGTCAAAAATGTGGAACGAACTGGATTTTACTAGAAAAACAATGTACTTAGGAACTCCTGGTAGGAACTAAAACATGTTTTTAAAAATCCTGCAAATTTTTTACCACCACAGTATAAAAATACTAACAGCTTATAGATTAATAAGTTAAATCTCTGAATCTTTGACCTTTGACAAACGTCAGTGTTATGCTTTCACTACAGATAGATGTTTTCCTTTGGATTGCCTGATAAAGTATGCACAGTATATTGAAATCACTTGAGATAAAATTTTGCAAGGAGTCAGAAGGTTATAAATGCTTGACATACTTAAATTTAGGATCACTACTGTATCATAAAGGAGATTATATTTCACAGCTATCTGTTGTCTGGAAGCTGTCTAAATAGATGTGTTATTTGTGGACTTACGGAACTGGCAAGGATCAGAGCTCACATGCTTCAGCCTCCAACTCAATTCTGCAATCGGGGCCACATCATCACTGCCAAATGACCATCTTCCCCCTGCAATAAAAGAAGACTAAACTGCTCTACATGAAATAAGAAGAAAAGGCTGGGAATATTTGCTCCTGAAGAAGAGGAAGAAAAGACGATAGGTAAAAAAGAATAAGTGGAAATTTTAAAGCCAGTTCCAAACTGGGAAGAAGAAAATTGCAACAAGGAATGATACCACCCTAAATATATAAACTGGTTTTACAAATTAATTTTTGAAAAAATAAACCAAAAACACTACTCTCACAATAGAAAATTAGTAAAGGACATAAATATTCACATAGAATGAAAATTGGACAATATATATATATATTCAAGAAATTAAAGTTTACTAACAAGTAAAGGAATAAATGTAACAGAAAAAAAATCCAATTGCCAAAAATTATTTTTAAATATTATCCAGTGCTGCTCACCAGGGGACAAGGAAACAGGCACTCTCTTACACTGCTGGTGGTAGCATAAATTAATACTAAACAATACATATAAACACAAAATCATAGTCTATTCTGTAATATCATTATGGCTACAATACTAAGAAGGCTTGGGTTTTCAAATATCGAGATATTAAAATCAAGACTGTAATAGAGAAAGGAAGAGTAGAGAGTTACAGAACTGCAGTACCAAAATTATTTTCACTGCAGGAATTTCAACAAAGGTATTTTTTATTCATCTAAGTACATTTTCTTTTTTCAAGCTACAAATAAATTTATTCAATAACTGTCAGAAAAATTACCTTCATACAGACTACATCTTCTGAGTCTAATGCAGCAGTATTATAAGACAAAGAGAGAGATCGATTGAACAATCCTATACGCCTGAAAACTAAAATAGTCTACTAAATAATACTTGTTTTAGAGTAGGAGGGAAATTTGTTAAAGACTTCAAACTAAATAAAAGCAGTACCTGAAAAATGTATGGGCTGCAGCTATAACTAGATGTAGAGGGAAACATTTTGATATTAATAACAAAACAATAATAAACATTTATTGAGTATGTTCTATGCGCCATGCCGTTGTTAAGTTCTTCATACATTATCACATTGAAACTTTTAAATTTATTATTTATTTTTTAGAGACAGGGTCTTGCTATACTGTCCAGGCTGACCTTGAATTCCAGTGTTCAAATGATCCTCCTGCCTCAGCTTCCCAAGTAGCTGGGACTATGTTATTGTATTTTTATTGTAAAATAAATAACTATGGAAATAAAACACATGTGTATTTTAAAGGATAAAGATAATAAAGCAAACACATGGGTAAACACATTTTTAGTGTGAAGGAAATATTGCCAAAACCTTAGAAACTTCCTGCATAGCCCTCTTCCAATCACATACCCTTCCTCCCTCACGAAGGTAAGCCACTATCCTGATTTTGATGCCCTTCCTTCATAATCATTCCACTTATGTACACCCTAAAAACACATTGCTTAGCTTTGTCAGGTCTTTTAATTTTATTTAAATGAAATCATATGGTATTATTCTTTTGCAGCCTGCTTATTTTGCACAATTGTCTGTAAAAGTCATCCATGTTGCTGCATGTAGCTGCAGATCTTTTTATTGCAGTATCATATAAACACAATTAATTATGAATTCTACTGATGATAAATACTGGAGTTATTTTCATGTAGGACTGTTATGAATATCCTCACACTTGTCTTCTTGTGCATATGTGTAAGATTTTCTCTACTTTAAATATCTAGAAGTAGAACCACTGGATCTTAGGATGAACACACATTTAAATTTACTAAGTAATGTCACGTGAGTCTCCGAAGTAGTTGAACCAATTTACATTCTCACCAGTAAGTGCTTAAGACTCACATTCTTAACCCCAGGTATGATCACACTTTATATTTGCCAATGTGGTGGGAATATAAATTTCTTATTGTAGTTTAATATGAATTTCCTGATTAATAATGAGGTGAACATTTTTTTCCTGTTTATTGGACATTCAAGTTTCTCTTTTATGAAGTACTTGTTCTCATGCTTTCTTCATTTGTCTATTGGATTTCTTTTTTCGTTTTTTTTTGTAGGAAATATTTTTGTATATTAGGTATGAGTTTTTGTCAATTATATAATTTGCAATTATCTTCGCCTAGTTTGTGACTTGTGTCTTTATGGTAGATTTAGAGAAAAGAAATTCTTCATATTAATGCAACTGAATTTATCAGTCATTTCCATTATGCTATGTGCTCATGTGTACATGTGTGTACAGCTTTTTAAATTCATTCCTATCTATGTATCTCATATTTTTCTATGCTATTGTAAATGGTATATTTTTAAATTTTCATTTTTAACTGATATCTGCTGGTATATTAAAATGCAACTGATTTTTGTATGCAGATTACATACTATTGAATTACAATGGGGTTATGTCCTGATAAACCTAAAGTAATGTGAAAATATCATGAGTCAAAAATGCATTTAATACCACAATAAACCCATTATAATGTCAAAAAACTAAGTCAAACCATTGTAGGTTGAGGATGGTCAGTAATGATTTTCATATTCAACTAACTTGCCAAATTCTTATTTCTAAAAAATATTTTCAGTCTGGGCAACACGCCAAGACCCCATCTCTACAAAAAATTAAAAAATTTGTCAAGCATAGTGGTGTGCCTGTGGTCCCAGGTACTCTGGAGGCTGAGGCAGGAGGATCGCTTGAGCCCAAGAGATGGAGGCTGTAGTGAGGCCATGTTTGTGCCACTCCACTCCAGCCTGGGCAACAGAGCAAGACCCTGTCTGAGAAAAAAAAAAAAAAATGTAAATATGTATACAGTTCTTTTGGATGTTCCATGTAGATAATCAAATCATCTATGGAGGAGTTTTATTACTTGCCCCAGTCCTAATATCTTTAATTTCTTTATTGACTATGTGGGCTAACTCCAGTATGATGACCAACAGAATTGGTAGTAGCCATCCTTGACAAGTTCCTCAGTCTTGGGAATGCTATGAACTTGCATCATTAAGAATGATGTTTGATGTCTGCAGTATTGTTGTCTGTAGATACCCCTTGCCAGGTTTAAGTAAATTGCCTTGTATTCCTAATTTGTTTGCTTTTTCCTTTAGTCACGAATGGATGGTGACGTCTAACAAATGATTTCCTGCATCCATGAAGATGATCATACGATTTTTCTCCCTTAGAATGTTAATATGTTAATTTGATGTTTTAATATTTATTGGGTCAAAATCCTTTTTTTTTTTTTCTTTTTTGAGATGGAGTCTTGCTCTGTCTCCCAGGCTGGAATGCAGTGGCCCAATCACGGCTCACTGCAACCTCCACCTCCTAGGTTCAAAAATTCTCCTACCTCAGCCTCCCGAGTAGCTGGGATTACAGGCACGCACCACCACACCCAGCTAATTTTTCTACTTTTAGTAGAGATGGGGTTTCGCCATGTTGGCCAGGCTGGTCTCAAACTCCTGAACTCAGGTGATCCGACTGCCTCGGCCTCCCAAAGTGCTGAGATTACAGGCGTGAGCCACTATGCCCAGCCTCAAAATCCTTGCTTTGTAACACTCTGATCATTGGTTCATACAAGCCATCTTTTTTTTTTTTAATAATAAACACTGTGAACCCAATATAGGAACTAGAAAACTGACATTTTTATACAGCTATGTGATCTTCCCTCCATCCCATCCTCCACCTCCCACATGCAAAATATTTCCTGAATCTTGTAATCACTCATCATATATCTATATGTCTCTCTATAAATAATAGATATGCACACAGATATAGATATTTTTCTGAAGAGTATGTAGCTTAGTTTAAGTTGCTCTTTGAATATTAAGCATATTTGACCTTTTGGAACTTAATTATTTCACTCAATTTTATGTAGCAGAATTTTTGAATATAGATGTTGTTCAATCATTTTGTAGCCATATAATATTCACTTGAGAATGTGCTTTATCCATTCCCTTGTCCATGGGCATCTGAATCATTTCCAGGTTTCTGCTTTATCAAATAATGCTGCTATGAACTTTTTGTACATTTCTCCTAGCATATATTTTCAAGTTTCTCCTGAACCTAGAGGTGGACGTGCTTGGCAGATGAACATACAAATGGTTAACTATTAAGATCATGCCAAACTGTCTCATAAAATGGCGGCACCAATGTACATTCCCACCAACTAACTGTCTGATATGGCTGATTCACATCCTCTCCAATTCTTGGTACTGTCAGACCTTTGATTTTTGACATTGGGATAGGTATGAAATGGTTGTCATACTATAGCCGGATGTTATGTGTTGTTCACATTATTTTCTTATCTTTTCCCTGTTTGCAGCACTTGAGTCTTTTTCATTCTTGATACTGGTTATACGTCTTCTTTTTCCTTCAGCCATCTTGCCAAAAGTTTCAGTTTTATTATTCCTTTTAGCTTACTTGCTATTCTCTACTGAACACCCTCTACTGAATATTCATTTTCTATTTCATTAATTTTTGCTATGACTTTAACATTCTCTTCACTTTTATTCCTTCCTAATACAGGATTTATAGCTATAATTTTCCCTCGAAGTCCTGTTTAGCTGCACCCTAAAAGTTTTTATCTGTAGCATTTCCATGATCTTTCAGTTTGAAATATTTTCTAATTTCTATTTAAATTGTTTTGTGACCTGAATTTTATTTGAAACCATATAAAATTTTTCAAGTTACTCTTTAATTGTTGAGTCATAGCTTAATTGCATTGTTCTCATAACATTGAATGATTCCAATTTACTAATATTTGTTATAATTCTTTATCATGTGCCTGAAAAGAAGGTTTATCTTCAACTTGGTGGAGACAGTGCTCTATGTGTACACTCATTAGGACAAGTTTGTTAGAGGGAAATTATTGGTTCTCAATACATGTATTAGAAAATAGGAAAAGCTGAAAAATAAGCACAACTGAAGACATAAGCAAGAGACAGAGTACACCCAAAGAAACAGGAAGAAAGAAAATAATAAAAGGTAGAAACCAAGAAAAAATAATGGAACGGTATAGAAAAAAAAAGGTTAATACTATCAGAAGCTTCTTCTAGAAAAAGACTATTGTTGATAACCTCAGGAAATAACAGTTTAACAAAATAACAATAGAATGCAAGCAAACAAAATAAATAAGGGAACAAATTATAGCTATAATAAAGACTTTAAAAGTAGTTTTATTATAAAACACCTATAGCCAAATATTTTTGAAAACCTACAATAAATAGAATGAAAAATTATATTACCAATAAAATTAGCATAACATAAAATAGGAAACTTGAATAGACAACCATGAAAAACTGAAATAGTGTTACCCAATGATCTTACAGGGTGTCCCACTGAACTGAAACAGAGCATTTCTATGTTATATAAAATTTAGCCAAAATTAGAAAAATTGTGGAAACTACCCAATTCATTTTTCAGTTTGGTACAATCTTTAAAACTATCAGATGAGGACAGCAAAGAAAATTATAGGCCAATTTCACTAACAAACATAGAAGGAAATCCACTCAATAAAATATGAGCTAACAGAATCCAATCAGGTGTTTGAGAAAAATAACCCTAATAATACTTATTAGGTTTTATTCTAGAAATGCAAAGATAATTTAATATCAGAAAACTTATTAACATATTTCACCACAGGAATGTATTAAAGAAGAAAATACATGATTATCTCAATAGACATAAGAAAGGCATTTGATAAAGTTCACATTCAATTAAGATCTTTAAAAACTTTTTAACCTTGAAGACTAGAAAGAAAAGAACTTTCTTAACTTTTTGAAGGCTATCTATCAATGCCCTATAGCAAACATCATCATTAATGGAGAAACTTTTGATGTATTTCTTTTTAAGTCCAATAAGATAAAAACGCCACCACCATAGCTACTGGTCAATATACTATATGACATTCTGGCTAATATAAGACAAGAAGAAGAAACAAGTAAAACAATTGGAAGAGAAGAGAGGGTGTTCATTATTTGAAGCTGACCTGATAATCCACATAGAAAACCCAGGATAATTACCATCCAACTAAAAGGCATTATTAAAAAATTAAGGCACAGTACAAAAATCACAATAAGAAAAACAATTGCATATGATCAAAGACTAATGGAATAGAATTTAAAAGCTGAGAAAGAGACCCATATGAAAACCTGGTGTATGATACAGGTCATATCACAAGCCAGTGGAGAAAGGATAAATATTTTGGAAATGGTGATAGGAAAATTGGTATACTCCCTGGAAAATATTAAATTGGATCCTTACCTCACATAATCTCCGAATGTGGACTTCAGATGTATTAAAACCAAAACATGAAAAGCAAAAGTAAAATAAAAAGCAAATAAAAGTTTACATAGATTATCTTCATGATCTTGATGTAGAGAACTACAAATATTAACAATGGTCTTCTCTGTACAGAATTGTTATTTTCTAAGGTATTCACCTGTTATTTTATGATCAGAAAAAAGTGACCTACAAAAAAAATACATGCACTTGTAATATTATTCTTCACTGTGGAGCAAGGATATTTCATCCAGCATCAACTTGACCCACACAAAATACTCCCAAAGATCTTGATCCTCTTCTAAATTTACTGAGTGAGCTTCTGGTTACTAATTCAATTTGCCAGTGCCCTCACGCTGGAAAAAGGAATGCTCCCTACAACATACATTAATATGGTATTTTGGTCGTTAGAAAAGAAGATCTCAATGTAAATTGATCAGCATTCTGAATTAATACATCAGTCCCTGTGTGCTTGGTTGGAATAAGTTCCTCCTCAAGGGATTAGACCACTGTTGATATACTGAAATCAAACTTCTGGGCCTGTAGCATGAAGCCTAAAATTTAGGCACCAACTGAGATGCTGCTTTACAGTCTCTGAGTTGACCAGTTGGCCCATCACCCTCAATGATATCTATCCCTGATTCATCATTACTCTTATCTGCAATAAGGATTGGCCAGAATTAAGACCATAAAAATCTTTCACTCATCTATTTACTCATTCACTAAGCAAACACTTACTAGGGCCCTATTAGAGCCTAGTGTATCCCCTTTCTTAGTTCACCATGCTTCATCCAAGTTGATTTTCTGATAGTTCCAAGAATACACTAAGTTATTTGCTACCACAAGGCCATTGTTCTCTGCGCCTCCTACAGCCTTCTTCCCATGTTCCTGGACTACACTGTCACCTAATCAAGGCACCTGCACTAACCATCCATTTTAAAGTAGCCTTTCTCCTCCTCAGCACCCGCCATCATTTGTCTTTACCACAACATCTTTCTGTTTAATATCACAATTCTTTATTTACTTATGTATTGTCTAGCTTGCTCATTAGAACATAAACTCTGTGAGGGCAGGGATATGTCTAAGTCCTTGCTAGATCCCTAAGTTTTACAACAATACTCAACACTAACTAAAATCCTCAATAAATATGAATTAAGTAAAACAATGAATTCCTAATCATAAATTTTCTATCAAATAATATCTAATTTAATTCTGCAGAAATTTGGGTGTGTGCTATCCTATTTAAGTAGTTTAAGCTATATATTTTCAAAGAAGAAATTTCCAAAGCATGGACCATTCTCCCATATAACTTTAGAACTTTTTAAAAATCAATTGTCTATAACATCCCATTTCCAAGGGTCTTTCAGTAACTCAGTGTATAAAAGCATATGTCATGCTTTTCTCAAAAACTGGTATTAACCACAGGAAACACATACCTATATTATTCAAACCTAAACTAGATTTAGGATTTAATTCAAATAAAATTATTTATAAAATTTTCAGATAATATCTGAAACTCTAAAATAATTTTAAAACTCATACCTGTCCCTTCTCCCCATCCATCCTCAGAAAAGCAATGTTTGAACATCAGGCTTCATGGCTAAAGGTCACAATTAACCACTTCAGAACATCAAAAGTGGAAAACCAAAGGTCAAATAACCAAAGAATCTGCAGCATTCCTATAAAGACTGTATAAAGTCAGCAGTAGTGTGAAACACGTGAACAAGACATCTTCATTTATGCTCTGATCATTAACAGACTGTATCATCTTATTAAACTAGATTCTACAAGGCTTTTTTCAATATTTCTGAAGTGCTTTCATTTAACAACTTGCAAAACAAGAATAATTTTAGTAGTATAGCATGTCATTTCTCTCTCTCTTCTGCTGCCGTTAAGAGAGGGTTTCAGACAAAAGTCCCAGGCATAAATACACCACTGAGTCCCAAACTCCAACAGAGGGACTGATATATGCCCCAGATGAAATCTGAGTGTTTTTAAATCAATTTAAAGAACATTATTGGATTTTTATGTAGAAAATACAGACATAGCTGAATATTTCACACTAAATGTATTCAATTTAAAGTGCCTGTCCTTTATTATGAAGTTCTGTCCTTTGTGTGTTTTAAAATGTCTTTTATGAAATGATGGGGATAGCAGGTGGTGCTTTTAACATCCTTATTTGGCAAAATAAAAGTTGGCAACTTCTAGAGAGTACCCAAATAATGTTTAAAAAAAGCACTATTCATAAAACCCAAAGCTGTGTAAAACAAATACTGATGGCCTAAAGAAGGAACAAGGTTTTCTAGGAAGAGTTGGCCCTGAGGCATATAATGCCAGTCCCACATTTCTGGAAGCTTATATTTCAACAAAAATAGCTGAACAGTGGCAACCTTTGCTCCTATTCCACTTTAGTGAGGCTAAGATTTTTCTTCATAGTGTCCTTAAGATCTATGCTATCCTTCAATTCTGAAATTGTCTGCTAGCTGTTACTTATAAACAAAATTATTGAGCTATCATGTCAATCTATTTTCACAAAAAAATTTGATGACAGAATAAGGTAGAATGATGTAACAAGGTATCTTAGAGCCCATAGGATGGTAAAGATAAGAAAATGCATATGAAAAACAAATGATTTGGAGAAAGATGTGTAACCAAGATGACTGAAAGTATAAAACTGCATGCAGTCTCTAATTTAACAATTCTATTGCTCAGTATGAATTGTAAGCTGTTTAAGTGAAATTCAAAATGGAAGTTTTTCCACAGAAACAAAACAGGGCTAGGTTCCAAGGCAATCTACATGGGCCTATTAATTTAGATTATCCAAGGAGTACACCTAACTCAGAATTCAGCAGCATCTCTTTCCCCATTTCATGACTAAATATGGAGGTAAGAAGGCAAGATGCTCCTAAAAGGTATTGTTAAATTTCCTTTATCTGTAAACCAAAACTGCAATTCCTTATACCACTTTGATGATGACATAAAAGAAAGCACCTCCCTAAATTGTCCACTTCCTGTTACTCCACGTTGAGAAACAAAAGGAATTTACTCTTCCTAAGGGCACAAGCAAGGGTCTCAGAGATCAGTTCCTCCAACCTGGTCCCATTACATATTGGTCCTAAAACAGAATCATTCTGAAAATGGATCATGGAAAATTATGCATCTTTGTGTGTGCACATGTATGGGTGTGTGTGTGACAAAATACACATCACATAAATTTACCCTTTTGTCATTTTTAAGGGTACAGTGCAGTCGCATTAAGTACAGTTACACTGTTATATAACCAAAATCATGTTTCTTATCCTGGATCCCCAAGGATTCTGCAGGCTGCTCATGGTATGCTTTCATTTGTACAATAACATATTTTGCTCCACACTCTTGGACCACCTGCTCCACAGACTTGTTTGCTGTAGCCTAGCCAGTGGTATAACCTGGGTGATTAAATTGCTAAACTGATTAAATTACCCTGAAGACCAAGTTGTCTTAGGTCCTGTGCATTCAACTTGACATGTCAACTGTGAAATGCTTGTGTTCTAGTGGAACGAAAACTTAAAATCCTCCCACGATTTTTTTTTTCTTGGGAACAATGTCTCACTCTATTACCCAAGCTGGAGTGCAGCAGTGCAATCATGTCTCACTGAAGCCTTGACCTCCTGGGCTCGGGAAATCTTCTCGCCACAGCCTCCCAGGCTCAAGTGATCCTCTCACCTCAGCCTCCTGATAGCTGGGACTACAAGCGCACTATGCCCAGTTAATTTTGGGGGTTGCTTTTATAGAGATGAAGAAATCTTGAAGCCACAGCCGTCCTTTACACAATAGAAAATGCTTGACCAGAGAAGAATTCTTCATTTATGTTACCACCATGGCTATCTATACTTCACTATGAGCCACATAAAATTAAATGCTTTGTTCAAATAATTAAAACTCAACTAATTTTCACAATAGACATATAGCATAGAGCTGGCCCTCTATACCTGCAGGTTCCACATCCGTGGCTTCAACCATTTGTGGATCGAAAATATTTTTCTAAAAAATTGTGTCTGTACTGAACATGTACAGACTTTTCTCCTTGTCATTATTCCCTAAACAATGCACTAACACAACTATTTACATAGCATTTATATTGTATTCGTTATTATACAATAACTAATCTAGAAATGATTTAAAGTATCCAGGACTATGTGCTTAGGTTTTATGTAAATACTATACCATTTTATATCAAGGAATTAAGCATCCATGGATTTGGGTATCTGCAGGAGGTCCTGGAACCAATCCCCCATGGATACCAAGGGATGACTGTATTTATCAATAGATATCTAGCATAATAGCTTTTGTCCTCATCAGCAGATATGGAACATAACAGCCTTTGTCCTCATAAGCAGATATGAAACATAACAGTTTTTGCCGTCATCAATCTGCTACATAAGGCTTATCCTTGCAACAACCAATTTTCCATTGTCCCTGCTACTTATTAATTTTTCAAAATGTTACAGCGTTTGAGTGAACCTGGGACATTGATGCACTACTACAAAGCAATCAATATGACAAAACTGCACTTGAACATTACGACTATTATTTGTTCTTCAAGGCATACACATACAAGAACAGCACTTCACGCAAAGCAAACTATCAATTTCCCTCTAAATTTGTAAGCTGGTTTCTTAACAGAGATATATTGTTTTGTAAATGAGAAAACACAGGTGTCTCAGGATTCATTCTCCTCTCCTATGGCTAAACTGCTAAAAAATGGAGATCTTTCTTGCCCACATACTCAGTACCATGGCTAAGAGCACTCAAAGAACACTGACTTGAGACTATCAGGAAAGGATATATGGTCCCCAACTTACAAACAGTTTGACTTACAACTTTTCTGTTTTTTTTTTTTTTTTTAGCTTTAAAAGACCATTTATTAATTTTAAGTATTTATGACTCATGGGTTAAAATATTTATCAATTTAATACCAACAGGTAATTTTGTTTGAAAGAGGCTTCAACTGTTATCTTTACTACTTTTATTACCAATGGGAGAGAATTCGACGTTACCTTTCTAATTTTTACATTCTCTTTTGTAGATGTTTTGAACCACAGTATCTCGCTATCTTAGGAAATGTCAATGACAGTCCATTAACAGGCTTTCCAGAAAGTTTCCCATCACTGAAAAGTAGTCCTACTGACTTTCTTAGCCACTACCACATTCAGCTCGTAAATAACCTATTGTGAGAAGCACATTCCAATAATGATGACGCTGAGTGACCTCAAGTGTATACCAATATTATTCCAGTTAAAAAGCTTAGATACTACTAGCATTTAAATAATTGAAAACTAATTGGAATCTCTTCCAGAAATACAATAATGGGGAACATGGAGGCACAGCAAAGATTATTTATAATGTATGAAGGAGACCTGATACTTACTTACACCTACATAACAAACAAAACCCCCTCCAGGCTAAATAGTTCTTTTGTACACATTTTATTAAAGCCCAAATGAAAATATTTTAAAGCTTTAAGAAAATTACCGTAAACTACTTTCTCCATAATTTGTGTCTTGCATGGTTCTAAAATGTTCACAATGCTATAATTTGTTACTTAATTTTATGTGAATTTTTTAAAAAAATATCTCCATGCGTATGTTGTTGACTTTTTTTTTTTTTTTTTTTTTTTTGAGATGGAGTCTTGCTCTGTCACCAGGCTGGAGTGCAGTGGCTCCATCTTGGCCCACTGCAACCTCCACCTCCCAGGTTCAAGTGATTCTCCTGCCTCAGTCTCCCGAGTAGCTGGGACTACAGGCCTGCACCACCACGTCCAGCTAATTTTTTGTATTTTTAGTACAGACGGGGTTTCACCGTGTTGGCCAGGATGGTCTCAATCTCTTGACCTCGTGATCCTCCTGTCTTGGCCTCCCAAAGTGCTGAGATTACAGGCGTGAGCCACCACGCCTAGCCTTGTTGACATTTCTTTAACTCACAAATACCTTGACATGCTGTCTAGAGAAACTGCTCCTATATACTGATTAATTATGGAGGATTCAAGCAATTCTGAGTTTTTATAGCATCCTCAAACTGAAAAACCTTCAAAATTAGCCATTTTTTCTTAATTATTTATGTATTTAAGAAATAGAGACAAGCTCTTGCTATGTGGCCCAGGTTGGTCTAAAACTCCTGGCCTCAAGCAGTCCTCCCGCCTCAGCCTCTCACAGTGCTGGAATTACAGGCATGAGCCACTGTGCCCAGCTAAAACAAGCCAATTTAATGCCCTTAAACAATCAAAATGTAATGCTAAGGAAAATAAAACAATACACGCCAGAACTGGAGTGCAAAAGCAAAAACCTTTTTGCTATAGATTTGTAAACTAATGGGATCCTTTCCCAAGGGCATGCTAGAAATATAAAAAATGAAATGACAAAAACTTCCCATGTTTCTATCCTTCGTTAGGCAACTTCTTATCCTATTTCAGTTTCCTGAAACATCCCTGGTTAAGACTCTTGTGATTAAAAAGACAAAAACAAGTGTTTATGTAAGTCCATCAGATTCCTCATTAAAGCTGAAGTCACACACCAGATACCAGTGGTCTGAAAGATGGTAGCCAGTTGGATCCAATCTGTTCTTTGGTGAGCAGATCAAGAGCTGACCTTACATTTAGAGCATGCTTAGAATACCAGAGGGTGTGCCTGCCCTCCCCTGGGGTCCAGATCTTCCTGGTAGTATATGGGGGTTCTGACTGCCCACCAGCACTCAGGGGATTGTAGGCACTGTTCAGGTTGAGGCTGGAGGAAGCAAAGTGTTTCTAGGCCTCTTGTGTTGGTTCTGCATTGAAGTCCCCTCAAACAACAAGGGGAATCTTGGCCCTTGAGTGACATTTTGCAGGTTCTGAAGAAGGTCACAGCCTTGAGCTGATCAAAATCACGCCCAGCCAGTGCGTGCTTTTACATGGGTGACACCGATGCAGAACTGTTGGTCTGACTCCTTGCACTCTAGGAACTGTGCAATGGCCACCTGATTAGTTTTCAATGTCATGGCCATCAGCCTAATATTGGCACTGTTCACTAGCCTGATTTGGTTTTGGAGGAAAAATTAAGCACAGCTGTCTGGTCCACTGTTGTATTCTATACCTAGACAAGATGACCAGGGCTTGGGGGAAAAAAAATGTGCCTTGATAGCCCAGCCTCCTGAGGAGTGGTTGGAAGGTTTCAAAATACTGTTCTACCTCTTGGAGGCACAATATATCAGGCTGGTAGAATAGGATTTCTTCTAGCGTGAGAAGCTTCCTTTCTTCTCACTTGAGTGTTTCAACAGGGCATTGTACAAAGTTGTCTTTGTCTTTCCAAGAGCTTGGATGAAGTTGTTCCATTGCATGACTCTAATAGGTAGGTAGTTACTGGAGTCTGTCCTCAGATCCACAAAATCTCTCTGGAACCAGGGAAGTTAAGTATCCACGACAGCCCTGCATTCCTCAAAAAGCTGCTCTTTAGGATCTATGGGCTCCAGATGTTCTAGGTCAGGTAATAGCAAACACTCTGGGTGCAGGAGGCAGCAGCACTGCTGTTCAGTGTCTTGGCGAGAGCGCTAGAGTCTGCTCATACTATTTCAATCGTACTTCGACTACCCATACAACCGTTCTGCTTTTCACCTTCTCTACAGTATTAAGTTACATGGTATATTCAACACTTTATTATAAAATAGGCTTTCTGTTAAGATGACTTTGCCCAACTATAGGCTAATGTAAGTGATCTGAGTACATTTAAGGTAGGCTAGGCTAACATGTTTGGTAGGCTAAATTTATTAAATGCATTTTTTACTTAATAGTTTCAACTTACAATGGGTTTGTTGGGATGTAACCCCACTGTAAGTCAAAATGCATCTGTACTGATTCATTCACCTTGAGTTTAATAGGGGGAAATACACCTGGACGATCCTAAGAACATAGCTTGCAGGACAATTACTGCACCGAACGAACCAGCAAATGAGAGGCCCCCCAAGAGCACTAGAATGGCAAGCTCTACTAAGCAAATATACTGATCATTTTTCAAGCTGTAGTTCTATTTAAACCAATTTGCACTGCAGTTCATTTCACAGAAATTACTTCATAGCTTCAGGAATCCCCTGTGAAATCCTAAATACCAGCACTACAAATTTAAATTTAACTTAAAAATACTTAAAAATAATGAACTAATCACTGAACCAGCATGTCTTCATATATACCTGCACTAGACTGGTTTTGCTTAACTCACAGGCTACCAGTTATTTTATTAAAATTCAACACAAGCTCCACTAAAGGACAATAGAATTAGCTACACAATTAAGATACAGAAGACAGCATTAAAGCAGTAACACCAGGAGTTAAAAATTTTTAAACTGGCTTGAACAGTTAAACAGGTGAATAAACCAGCCAGTTGTGTGGAAGAAACCTTGAGGCATTCATTAATAGCAGTATCTGGTTCCTACGAACCCTTCTTAAGCCCAGTGTTTTCTTATCTATCATCACATTAGAATTTAACATTCCTGAAAGCCAAGTAAGGGCAAAGACCCTTTTGCCAAATTTAGTTGGAAACACTAAACCAAGTCAAGGTCACACTATTAGTGAAGTTTACTACAGTCCTCAGCACAATGTAGGCAGTCATAGGCATTAAGTGAACGCTGATTTAAGATAATGCCTCCAGCCTCATAACTAATCATAGTACCCTTTATTATCAATATTCATTAGCTATCATTACACGATGCTCACTGTGCTGAGCTCAGAACTGTATGAATAGCATTTAAATTAATTCTAACAATTCATTAAGTAACGTTATTAACCTCATTTTACAGATATGGAAACTGAGACTTAGAAAAGCAACTTGCCAAAGTCACTCAGTATGTCAGGGGCCTGAACTTGAATTAAGAGTTTGATTCAAGAGCCCTGTTCTTAACTACAGTTGAACCTTGAACAACACGGGGGTTAGGGGTGTCAAACCCTTGTGCAACCAAAAATCTGTATATAATTTTTGACTCCCGCAAAACTTAACTACTAATAGCCTACTACTGACCAGAAGCCTTACTGATAATATAAAGTCAATTAACATAGATTTTGTATGTTATATGTAAGAGATAATATATTTTTTATACAAACATCAGGAACAATATATATGTTATATTCTTACAATAAAGTAAGCTCTCAGAAAAGAAAGTTAAGAAAATCTTAAGGGAGAGAAAATAAATTTACTGTTCATTAAGTGGAAGTGGATCATCATAAAGGTTTTCATCCTCATGATCTTTACATTAGTGGACTGAGAAGGAGAAAGGGGAGGGGTTGGTCTTGCTGTCCCCGGAGTGGCAGAAGCAGAAGAAAATCTGCATGTAAGTAGACCTCTGCAGTTCAAACCTGTGTTGTCCAACGGTCAACTGTACTACCCAATCCTGCCTTCCAAGCCACTGAAGTTGGTGCATAAGCTAAAACCCATGCCATTCCAGAAAGAAGTGGTCAAAAAGATCAGCAGACTTATGTTTTCATAAATTCATTCTTAGTAGACTCATGAATTTCAGTCTTAATTCACTCATTTGGAAAAAGTTACACTACAATCCCTCTCTCCACTGATACAGCTGTAGTGTAGGTAACACAACTTAGTACATGTTAAAATGTTACTCAAATGAAAATATTATGGGGTTATTCTGATCTACTAGCTAGTGATCTATCTGTAACTATCACACATCAGGATCACGCTACTATGTTCATATCTGTAATATGAAATGTAATTTGACATCACCACAGAAGTCTTCTCACCTAGTGGTTCTCAAGGAAAGGAAAGTAACCTGTGGGCCTTTCCCAATTCTGATTTGTCTTCAAGGGGAATTTGTCAGAATGAGGTGCACAAAGCAATGAGATGTGTTCTACAGATGATTCTATTGCACACTCTGGCTAGGAAATCACCTTAGTACTGTGGTCTAGAATACGTAAACTTAGGAATTAGTATGTTCGAATTGAAATCCTTTCTCAGCTACTTACTGACCATTAGAACTAGGGCAGCAAGCTATTTACATTCTGTAAACCAAGCAGTCACTGCTGTGCATATAAATAAGCCCTAATTATTACTTGCAATAAACCTTAGTTACAGAATCCGTCTGAATTGAATTTCCTGAATGTAGCAGAGTAGCCTAGTCCAGTGCTGTTAATTCAATAACTCTAACAACGAGCCCAAATCTGCTTCTTTAAACTTATCTGCGGTTATTCTAAAGCAAAACATATTCACTTCCTGTTTGACATGAACTTATTAACCGATTCCTAATTGCATTACAAGAGTTTAAACATTAGCCATATCACTTAAAAAAGAAAAAGCCATCTTTTCCCAATAATTAAACTACTAAAGAATAGATGGTACAAAAAGGTTTGCATTTCAATAGAACTAGCTTTATTTACTTATTTATTTATTTAAACAAAAGAAATGGTTTAAAAGCAAATGCATATATGTACCAAGGGATGGACATGACCTGGTACTTACAAAGGAGCTGCTGTGTCATAATGGAAACAGCATATTAGGAGAAAAATAGTATTTCGTGTGCTGTCTGCTTGAGTAATCAATCTGGAGATGCAAGTTAACCGAAGGTGCTCTGCCAAGCCATCAGCGTGAGAAAAAAAAACCACCAGAAGTTGCCTCCAGATAACGATGTAGTGGCAGCATGATAACTGGCATCAACTCACGGTCTTCTCATTTTCCCCATTTTCTATAATTTTCCTCTTCTTTTCATCTATTTTTTTCTTGAAGATGTTATTTCGGTAAAACTGAAGCTCTTTGATGCTTTCACTAATGTCATCAAGTGCCCTATAAGCAAACATACCACAATGAATGAACTGTCCAAAACCAGGAGATGAAAATCATTTTAAAAGTACAACTTTTAAAAAACGACTTAAGAACAATGGATGTTACTGTAAGTGTCACTGTCTAGCATCATCAAAAGTAGAACATTTCAGAAAAGCAATTTTCTTTAAATGCTTTGTTTTTTAAAAACTTTTGACAAAAAAATTTGTAAAATATAGAAGATTAAAGTTTCCCAAATTGTTCCAAAAGATGGCGACATGTTCCACAGGGAGAAAAAATAATTCCACGGTCAAATAAGTTTAGAAAAACTAGAGTAAACTTTTTACTGAAATAAAAAGTTGCAAAGCATTTAATATACTAATGTGTATTATGAATTCCCAAAAGGAAGCTGTCCTATATTTCTAATTTATTAATTTTCTAAAATTAATAAATTTTAGTATTTCTAAAACTTAATCGACCACATTTGTAGAATACTTATAAACAGTTCATGGAACACAGTTTGAGAAACATTGCCCAATACTTGATGATGTCCCTCAACAAAACAGACTGACACACTTGAACATAAGTCATGACTCAGTCATCATAATAAACATCAATTATCAAACAGTACCTAACCATACCAGAGGATCTACCTCCTCTCTCATGGTGATTTGTGCTATAATCAGTGGCAGCCTGCCTCCATCTAAGAGCCTTTCTTTTCTTCCAATATGTTGTTTCTCATCTGTTGTATTCTGAGAAATCAGGTAACCAAGATTATTAGAACAGTGTGCAAGTAAATCAATAAACTCTGAATCATGGGCCAAGGGCCACTTCTAGAGAATTCCCTGCACAAATTTTAGTGCAAGAGTTTTATGACAATTATTTGTGTGGCTAAGGCAACCATCTGCTTTCTTTCCAGGACTTGGATATATGTCAGAGCCGAAGCTGCCAAAATTATAGCCTCTGGCTAAATAAAGGCACACAATATCTTATCCACAAAACTGAAATCCAAAACACACCTGAAAACCCACAGTACTTACAGAACCTATTATGTAGCAAAACCTGAGCAATCTTAATGTGAGGCTATTGACAGTCATCATTACTTATGCCATTTGGTGTGAATATACACGTTTCACTGCAGAATACCTATGTGTTTTATTATGGGCTGCTTCTCAAACCTTGTTAGGGATGCTACAAGATAATAAACAATACAGATGTAGTAACACCTTTCTAAAATCTGAAAAATTCTGAAATCAAAACATACCCCAGTTGTGTCAGATAAGGTAGTCTAGGCCTGTATGCCTGTGCTACAGTCTACATACACTCAATAAAATAATGTAAGAATGCCAGACTCTTTAGGGATTGGTCTTTCTCTATTTGCCTATAACTGTGCAAGGTACATCATAGGGGTTCAGTAAATGGTTTAATAAATGCTACCCTTAGAAGCCAGCTGCTAAACCTCCCATCAGGTTTCATGTTTCTCCTGAAAGACTACAAAATCAAAAAGAAAAGAACCAGTACAGGACACATGAATATACAAGATCTTTAAATTCCTTGTCTACTTGTACCTAAGGCTACAGACATAAGAGAAACAATCAGAAAAACTATAACAAGTGTCAAAGTAGGCAACTGTATTATAGAATTGCACACAAAAAGTGTTCTAATTTCAAAAGGCTGCAAGTCCATATCTTCTGTGGGAAGAAAGTTAACACGGTTCATTACTAGAAAGATTACAGATTGTTTCATCATTCCTATAAACCAAGCTATCTAAGAGTTTTGAAACAGCAATAAAGGCTATATAACCCTCTCAGAATGGAACACTGGAATCCTGACCAGAATTCCTAACAGTAAAAGAATGTTATGTTTATGCTAGTTGAACTTTATCTTTTCCCCGAGAAAAAAGAGTTAAGGGACATTATTTCAAGCAGTCAGGAATTTGGGAGTTAAGTGTGTGTCAGACTGGAAAACGCTTGGTAGAACTCAAACTTACCTATGAGAAGCAGCCTTCTTTGGTGCAAATTCATATTCTTCTGGATACCAGCGTCTATACACAGCAGAAATGGAACTCTCAAAGGAAGCTGTCTCAAATATACTGAACAATTACCTCCTTCAAGTAATCCATTAACATTGAAAATGGCATTTGAGTCATGATTCTCAAGTTGCTTCTTTGCCGGGGCCTCTATCTTCTACCCTCTCCTCTCTTTCTTCTATATATTTTCTATGAGCAAGCTCATCAGTGTGTAAGATTGCTAAATCTGGAAATCCAGCCCAGCCCTCCCTAGAGTTTCTGTCATGGATATGCAACTGCCCACTAGATATCTCCATCTAAAAATCTACCAGACACTTCTAATTCAACATACATCAAAACACACCCACCATTGTCAACACCTCCCCTGCCCCATCCACCATATCTACTCTTCTTCTTCTCCTTTTTATTTGAACACTGCCATCATCCACCAAAGCTGCTCAAACTACAAACATCAGAATAACATTATACCTCTTCCTTTTCACACCACCTCATTCGAACACTGAGTGTCTGTCAACTGACCCTCTCACATTTTTATCATACAAGCCCCTCATTTCCATGCCCTGCCCTTTCTCCAGTTCATTCTTCTCCCCAAGATGGCAGAAAAGCCTCCTTTCAGGCCGGGCGCGGTGGCTCACGCCTGTAATCCCAGCACTTTGGGAGGCCGAGGCAGGCGGATCACGAGGTCAGGAGATCGAGACCACGGTGAAACCCCGTCTCTACTAAAAATACAAAAAATTAGCCGGGCGCAGTGGCGGGCGCCTGTAGTCCCAGCTACTCGGGAGGCTGAGGCAGGAGAATGGCGTGAATCCGGAAGGCGGAGCTTGCAGTGAGCGGAGATCGCGCCACAGCACTCCCGCCTGGGCGACAGAACGAGACTCCGTCTCAAAAAAAAAAAAAAAAAAAAAAAGCCTCCTTTCTATCTTTCTACCACTTTTCTTGCCACCTTCGAATCAGAACGATCGTTATCACTCACTCTTCTACCTACACTTTCTCAAAGGAACCCCATTCCTTGCAAGATCATAGTGAACTTCACTGGCATGGTGTGCAAGCTCTTGAGGCCCTAGAACCACCTCCCACCTTCTCCAACCTCATGCTTTGCACTCCAGCATTAATGAATGCTTTGGGATTCATTTAACACATTTTGCCTTAGCTTCCTGCTCCCTCACATTCTTATACTTCTGTCTGCTCTCTCTGAATGCTCTCTCCTCAATAAAATGCCTGCAAGACTTCCACTCTTCTTCACATCTCAATTTCAAAGCTATTTCCTTGCTATGTAAAGGTTTCTCTGACTCCCCATTCCTCTTGCTCCAGCACAGTTAGATGCTGCTTCCCTTGTGACCTCACTAGTCCATACGCACATTTTCACTATAGGAGTCATCATAGAGTATATTTTCAGGGTGCGTTTTTTTACACATATGTCGATCCACTATTTTCTAAAGTACTTAAGAGCTTTTCATCTATATGTTCCCAGTCACAAGACTTCCACATAATATTAGTTAATCCAGAAAATGTATTGAGCACTTATTTTGTGCCAGGCATTGGCTTATTTACTGGGAACATGTCTGACGTTGTTGCTCCCAATTCTCACCAGTCCAGGGTAAGTTAAGGTCCTATACAAGCAAGAATGGGATGAGGAAGATATGAACCCACTTGGTAGCCTTAGTTCTACAGCTCTATCCAATTACTTTCCACAAATTCTCAATTAAAACATGCTAAATGAGGTAATTTAATGGATCCTAAATATAGCCCTTACCTGCACAGTTCTTTAACAGTGCTCACATCAATTATTCTATAATGAAGATGTTTCATGAACTGGGGCATGTATTTGTCAAGAAACTTCTTATCTTCATGAACTGAATTTCCTAGAAAGACACGAAGCATACTGCATCTCTATATTTCTAGTATTATACAACAGGATATCAAAATTCATAAGTTGTATTTGAAATGGAGATGATTTTTTAAAATTCAAACAATTCCTAAAAGCACCTCTATATTTCTAAATCAGGTTTGGGTAAATGTGATTAGCTTACAAGTACAGATTTCCAAGTACTTAGTCAGTTTAGCTCCTTATAAATTTGTAAATGACCTCTCATGAACAGAAGGACAAATCTATCATTCCACATGCTTGATGTAATGCACAAATCTATTTGTTACTTTCTAAGGTCATACCTGATATGCAAACTTTCTCCCAGTGTCACAAAATTCACACCACTAACACTAAAAATTTAACTGAATCACATAGGTAGATAAACCTTTATTTACAATCCAAATTTTTAAACAAATCATATGCATATTTATGTCCCCAAAAAGTAACTTATACTAAAAACACTAAATTTTAAATGAGACCTTTAAAACAGATATCAGCCACATTGGCTGGCGGAAACATTTACACAATATATGCTCTAGTACTTAATGCCAAAACTTATTTTTATAAATGTTTAAGAACAGTATTAGCTACCACATCGACTTACATATACAAACGTACATATACCTTCAGAGAAACATTAACTTCCCTCTGGCAATGTCACCCTTTTAAAAATCCTGGTAGAACAGGCCTGGTCTCTTTAGAAAGTCAATGACACAGGGGAAAAATAATAGGTGGAAAGTTTTACATTAAGAGACTAAAGAAATATAACTAAATGAAATGCACGAGCCTTGACTGAATCCTGGTTCAAAAACAAATATTTTG